>NC_000013.11:69014166-69165681 GCF_000001405.40 Homo sapiens
CTACCCTTTTTATATTAAACTCTACCATCTTTGCTCAAAATCTTCCCAGGAATAAACATATCACACATTTGGTATGTATTTTGAGTTACCCACAGATATTCCTTTTCTCCTAGGCCTTAATTCTTAACCTTAGACTCCGGAAAAAAAGAAAAAGAAAAAAAAACATTCGGCCCTCCTCTGAAAATTGATACCACCTGTACCTATTTAATGGGGAAAGATTTACTTTCCAAACAGAATTGTAAGATTACATTCACACAAGGGCGAGCAATTCTTGAAATTCAGGAGATTTATCTGGTCATATTCAAGTTGTGTCTGCTCCTTTATCTTTGAATCATATCCCAGATAAACACCTTCTGGGATATGATTCAAAACATCTTAAAATATTAGCATCACATCTAGCATGCTATGGGCTAAAAATTCCACAGACTTAGGAAAAATAATTAGAGAAGAACCCATTAATGGATAGATTCTACCAAATGATTTCCCAAACATCCCTAATATCACCTGAACCCCAAAGCAGAAGGACACACATCTGTATTTGAAGACTTTATATTCAGAAGTGTTCTGGTACATTGTGTTAGTCTTTTAACCACCCCTGTCCTCCCAGTGAGGAAACCACATGAGCAGTGATATTGATTTATTTCAGAACTCAGGGCCATCAACAAAACTGTTATTCCTTACTTCTTGGAAATAAACTAAAATACAATTCTCTCATGAATTCCACCTGAAACCACCTGTTTCTCTGTAGTGTATTCTTGTACGGCATTTTTCAGTGTGCTTCCAAACTAGAACAGTCAACAGCTCTTTCCCTTCACCTGGGGAGGACAATGACATGTGGGTATTCATATTCCCAGAATTTACCAACCCCTGATCCATCAATAATTTTCTCCATGTCATCAGTCAAGACAAAAGATGTAAATTTCATTTCAGATTCAGTTCTGACGTAATACATAGATGACTACCTACATTGTGCAGAGAATAAAGAAAACTACATAAAGAACTTTATTTACTTATTCTCTTAGTATATAGGGAACATAAAGTTTAAAAAGGTAAATTACAATTTTGCCAAAATGCAGTCCCTTATTTAGGGCATGACTGTATGAGGAAAGAAAAAGCCCTCTTTTATGATTGACTAAGGACTACCCAAACTTATCCTAGAATGCTTACAAAACAAAAACAAAATAGATTTCTAGGTTTAAATGGATATTGCAGATAATGAATGTCAACTTTTTCTGAGGTTAAAGTGCTACTTTATATGTTGACTAATGGTTTAAACATAGTTTTAATGGCACGGAACTCCTCACCATTAGGTCAAGCCTTTTAGAGCCCAAATAGTGCCCCACCCAGGAAGGAGAGGATCTCACATTTTCATGGACCTCCCTCTGCTTCCTCCTCCTCCTATGGCAAAATGGGACTTGTGAAAAGTAATAAAGAGGTTCTGTAGTAATGTGCTCCATAGGGTGCTATTCTCTCTCACACTAGGTTTAACAAGATTATCAATGTCTCATTGAGTCAATCAAGTAAAGAGTCTGTGAGGTCTCTTCAGCCCTCTCTATCTAAACAAGTAAAAATGAGGTGCAGTACTGATGGGACTGTGTGTGGCACTCTCATCTATCCCCCAGTGCAGGAATGTTGATGGCCACAATCTGCAGTATTACCAGAAAGCCTTTACTTTTGAGCAGGGTTCCCAAATAACAGGGATGCCCTCTGGGCCCTCCAACAAACCACCCAGGTTCTCTTTCCTTCAGGGGCTCACTGATCTACATTTGCCATTTGAGTTATAGGTTCCAGCAACCTCTCAGTTTTCTAATTGGAGCCTATGACAGAGGGACACTGGCAAGGGTTAGCAGAGCCCATCAGGTTTCTGGACCTGTAATCCCATGGACTTGTAAGCTCCCGGAGTCAGCTGAAAGGTAAAAGCCTTTTGATAATCATGTGTTTAGCTATTATTGGGCCTTGGCGGAGGCTGAACACATGAGCCTACTGAAATCTATTCTACTGAATTGACTACAAGAAGATGGTATCTTAAGTTGCAGTTAAAATATAAAGAGTGGTTATATGTAGAGTCTCCGAGCATGTTATATGGAAATTCAAATAAACTCAAGAAGAAAGACCATGATCATATAACAAAACTGCTTTGTTTTCTGTAGTCAAAAGTTTTCTAAGGAAACCTAGACTGACAATACATTTTCATTTCATTTGTGGAGCCCCTGGGAGATGGAAAATTCCCAGTTAGATCCTACAAACCACTTGTTTCTTCATAACCTCACCTGTCATGACTATTCTTCACTCTGCTTGATACAGACTAGCAACCTTGCTGTTCCTCAGAGTAAATGGTTGTGCTCAGGCCTCAGGGCTATTGCACTGGTAATACCCTTGCCTGGAAGAGTGTTCCCTACATACTGACATGGCACCTCCTGAACTTCCTACAGATGTTTTCTCAAATGCCACCATGTCAGGGCTTTATTTTGTCTCTTTTATCTATCATTTGCACTTATAACCTTCTAAGATACTTATAATTTACTTTTTATTACAGATTACAGTGAGTTTATAAAATATTTGTTCTTTAATTCTAGGAGTTTTTAAAATTTTCTTTTTTTCTTGTTAATAACTGGAGCATGCAAAGTACATGAAATGATAATCTGGCAGCTTAACAGCCATTCAATATATAAGTGGAATGAGTGTGACATGGAGCATCTCACTTTCAAATTCTATTCTCATATAAAGTATTAATTCAATTTGTTCACAGATGTTTTAGGCTATGTTATTAAAAGAAACAGCAATCTAATCATATGTTTTCTCTGGATTGTTCAATCTATAAGCCACAATCAATTTTTGAAATTTTAAAATTTTCAGGTTGGATATTAAAATACAGCAGGGGCATGACTTATCCATGGTGAATTCAATATAGCTCACATATGGGTCAAAATAAAGGAAAATATAAAATATGTTATTTAGCATAATGAGCATAGAGTACTTTGAAGATAGTGAAATGAAAGAAAGCGTTACAAAAGTAGCTTAAGATAAATTTAGAAGTTCAGAATTGAGGGAAAACTATTTAAAGATGTGAGAGACTATCATTTTAAACCTAAGGAGAAAGAGTCATTAAAGAAATTGAATGTAAAGATTCAAGGAGAAGAAATAAATGATGCAGAAGATTCCTTAAAAATGTGTGGGAAAATGAGCTATGAAATACAAATGCAAGCATTAACTCCCATCACATGTTCCTCAGGGGGGAAATTAAAGAAAAAAAGTTAGTGTGTGTGAATGTGTCTTGCTGTACACCAGCATGCAGAAAGTGAGACTGTGGCCACCTGGATTGCTCACATGAAAAATTCCCTCAGAGTGTGGTGGTGGTGGTGGTATAGTTGTTGGTGTGTGTGTGTGTGTGTGTGACAGAGAGAGAGAGTGTGTGTTTATGGTAGTTCTAAGGGGTTGGAGAGGCTTGTAAGTGCATTGATAGGCTTGCCATAATAAAGAAGAAGAGTGTAACAGCTTTAAAATAATTCCCTGGTGTAGAGATGATGCGATTTACTAAAATCATCAAAATCTTAGTAATGTATTAATAATATTGCTTTGTTTTTCTTAAAATTTGAATGTAGAAATATTCTCTATGCTTTTGAATAAAATCCAACTTTACTGAACAATACATTGTAATCAAAATATTGACACATTATTATTAAAAATGTCATCTCGATGTAAAGGTGATTTCAATGACTGGTTCAATAAATAATCAATAAAATGTGCTATTGGGGGAACCCACCCCCAATATTTCCATGTAGGTTCTTTCTATTTTCCATAAGTGTCAGCCAGCTGAGAAATAAAGAGAGACAGTATAAAGAGAGGAATTTTACAGCTGGGCCACCAAGAGTGACATCACATATTGGTAGGACTGTGATGTCTGCCTGAGTCTCAGACCAGCAAGTTTTTATTAAGGGTTTCAAAAGGGGAGGGGGTGAAAGAACAGGGAGTAGGTACAAATATCACATGCTTCAAAGGGCAAAAAGCAGAACTACTAATAAGGGTCTAACAAAGATCACATGCTTCTGAGGGAACAGGACAAAGGGCAAAAGCAGAACTACTGATAAGGGTTTATGTTCAGTGGTGCACGTATTGTCTTGATAAACATCTTAAACAACAGACAACAGGGTTCGAGAGCAGAGAACCGGTCTGACCACAAATTTACTAGGACAGAGTTGTTCCCCACCCTAGTAAGCCTAAGGGTACTGCAGGAGACCAGGGCCTTTCTCAGTCCTTATCTCAACCACGTAAGACAGACGTTCCCAGAGCGGCCGTTTATAGACCTCCCTGCAGGAGCACATCCCTTTCTCAGGGTATTAATATTAATGTTCCTTGCTAGGAAAAGAATTTAGCGATACCTCTCCTACTTGCACATCCGTTTACAGGCCCTCTACAAGAGAAAAATATGGCTGTTTTTGCCCGACCCTGCAGACAGTCAGACCTTATGGTTGTCTTCCCTTGTTCCCTAAAAATTGCTGTTATTCTGTTCTTTTCCAAGGTGAACTGATTTCATATTGTGCAAACACACATGTTTGACAATCAATTTGTACAGTTAACACAATTATCACAGTGGTCCTGAGGTGATGTACATCCTCAGCTTATGAAGACAACAGGATTAAGAGATTAAAGACAGGCATAAGAAATTATAAAAGTATTATTTGGGAACTGATAAATGTCCATGAAATCCTCACAATTTATGTTCTTCTGCCATGGCTCCAGCTGGTCCTTCCATTCAGGGTCCCTGATTTCCCACAACAATATGCAAAAAAATTTTTTTTTAATTTTCTCTACATCGGACCAATTTGTAAGATATTCTTGCTTTGAAATTCAGAGCCACCCAGAGTAGCTCAGAAATCCATGTTTCTATGTTACAAATGGGTTTTCCTAGTCTCAAAGAAGAAGAATTTGGCAATGAACTTGACTAAAAAATATGCTTTAATGCACTTTAGAGGCAGCAAAAATAATAATTGCAGGCTTTATATAACTTCTTACAAGCTCAAAACTATCACAAATCATTAAGCACTGTCTTTTTAGTGAATCGCATAAAGCACAAAAGTTATTTTACACATAGTAATGTTCTCATTAAATTGTAGTTCCTAATAAACAAAGGTAATAAAAAGGAACATTCTTATATACACATTATTACATGTCTCTGACACTATTCAGTACTTGGCAAAGTAAAGATTATTCAAGAAAAATGTTAAGCCAGTAGCAAGTCTACTTTCTTGTATTACTAACCAAATCCTGATTCTCTTTAATTTCAGTGAATATTTTTCTTATCTTTCCTTTCCGATTTAATAATCTGAAAATGTTTATTGTGAAAGAGGTATTTCTGCTTTTAACAGAGGAAAATAAAAAACAATAACATAGTAAATCTTAAAAAAAAAACTAACATCTTTTGCCCAGCCTTAAATCTCATTCAGTTTTCATCCTATGAGGGTTCTGTTTTATTGTTAGCATATATTTTAAACCTGATATTCATTTTCTGTGGCAATACTAACTTGATAACAATGCCAAAATTGTCTTAATTTTCTCCTTCATATAATGACAGTTGACCCACTTACTTAAAATCAACAAAATAATTAGTAAGGTTTTTTCTCCATTCTACTTCTTAAAATTATCTTTTTTAGTTGGCTTTTGTGTTTATCTTATTTGCTATAGCTTGGTCATGAATATCAGGACAAATACAAATAGATTGAAATTCACCATTATAAGAAGGTAAGAAAACTTCCAGTCTAATAAATAGTATCAAAAATAATGAACCAACTCCTTAAAAGTTATGCTTATAACCACATAAGGAAAACAAAATGTTTTCTTTAGGAAACTAAATGTTATCCAAGATACTGACAGCAATAATATTGGGAGAGAGCCACGTGTTACATAAACAGAAAAAAGTGACTACAGTGCTTTTTGGTACGCTCTTCAGTAATGTCAACCTTAAATTGTAGTTTCTGTGAATAACATTTCCACAGAGCTAGAGGCCAATTTTTCTTGAATGTTTTGTTACTATTGATAATTAACAATTACTGAGAGTTTGGGATGCAATTAGGTACTGCAATAAAGATCAGCTATTCTGACAGCTCTCTAGTATAAAGTGATTATATAAATAGATTAGATTGAGGTAAAAGAAAGTAAAACTGAAAGGCTAGATGCATGCAAATTGAGTATGGGAAATTCTGTGAGAAAAAGAGTTTCTTGACTCATTTTCAAAACAAGTAAACATACATAGAAATAAAAGTCATTTATTTCATAAATACTTCCTTGACTATCCACTATGTGCCAATCAATGACCTAAGCACTAAGGAAAAGCTAAATCTCTTCACCCATTGAACTTACATGCCAGCAAAATACAGCAAGTACATTTTTAAAATAAAAGAAAAAAATATTTTTTAGATTATTTCTATGGGGAAAGAAAACGGTCCATTGTAACATAAATTGTCTTAGATATGAAGGGAGCTGGCATCATTTGAAAGAATGATCATTAGAACCTGAATGGACAGAAGCCAACAGTTCCATAAGGATCGGGAATAAGAGTGTTCCAGGCAAAAAGGATAACAAGAGAACATTTTCCGAGGCAAGAATGAGCTTGACATGCTTGAGAAGCTAAGATAACTCAGTATGGACTATCTGTAGTAAAGGACATGGTAATTGAAGATATTGGGGAAAGTGGCAAAGGTAAGATCATGTGGAGTCTCAAATGTCATCGTAAGGAGCTATAGTGGTGTGTTAAATTCATTAAGAAGGTGTTGGTGGATTTCAGACAAGAGAATGTTGAAATCTGATTGGCTTTTGTAAAAACAAAAAAATCGTACCATGTCATTTGTTTGTCATCACTGGAAACTGAATTTACCAGAAAATGAAAGCTTATGCTCTAAAGTGCCAGTCAATGTATTTTTATATGCAGAATTTAAATGAAAATCACCTTTGTTGGCCGGGTGTGTTGGCTCACGCCTATAATCCCAGCACTTTGGGAGGCCGAGGCGGGTGGATCACTTTAGGTCAGGGGTTCAAGACTGGCCTGACAAATATGGTGAAACCTGGTCTCTACTAAAAAATACAAAATTAGGTGTGGTGGCAGGCACCTGTAATACCAGCTATCTTGGCAGGCTGAGGCAGGAGAATCACTTGAATCTGGGAGGTGGAGGTTGCGGTGAGCCGAGATCGCGCCATTCCACTTCAGCCTGGGCAACAAGAGCGAGACTCTGTCTCAAAACAAAAGAAAACAAACAAACAAAAAACAGAAAATCACCTTTGTTATTATAAATCCCTAAAGATGGTATATTGGATTATTAATATTTTTAATTCAAAGTCCTTGTTAACCTATAGTATAAAATGGTGTGAGATATAAATTTACACATTATGCTTTTTTACACCTAACAGATAGTATAATATACTTAACCAGGAAAAGTAGAAATAAAAATAAATAGTTTGCAAGGAGGGTAAAGAATATTCTCAAACTTTAAAAGAACCAATTTCTATCAGTACCAGATTGCATACTTTCACAATTTTTAATGGGATATAATCTTTTAGTATGTTTTAAATCATTGAATCTAATCTTACATGATACAGAATATGGTAACTGCAATAAGCATGCTGAAAGTAAGATGATCCAAATATATAGCATTGAGTTGAAGCAGAGAGGAGGTAAACAGTGAGATTTCAGATACCAAAGGTTAGGGAATTGATGACTTACTTATATCTGCCCAATGTAACATTAGGAGAAATAGGAAAGGGTGTGTCTGTAGTTGTGGAATTTTTTTTTTCTTGATGCTTGCAGTTAACTCCTATTAGAGATAAACTCCGGTTAGTGATCATAGTTTTTAAGCAGAGATAACAAGGGAACACAAATTTACTAAGGGAAGCACTTTCCCCTGTAACATGCTTGACTAAGAGTCTGTAATGTAGAGAGAGAATGAGCTTCTGTGCTTCAAGTTGAAGCAGTCGTGAGTAGTGGGGTTTGAAGGGTAGTCTTTTGTTTTTGTTTTGTTTTTTTCCTCATTAGAGCAATGCACATCTAAACCACAACGAGATACCATTTCAGACCAGTCAGAATGGTGATTATTAAAAAGTAAAAAGAATAACATGCTGCTGAAGTTGTGGAAAGAAAGGAACACTTACACACGGCTGGTGGGAGTGTAAATTAGTTCAACCATTGTGGAAGACAGTGTGGTTATTCCTCATAGACCTAAAGACAGAAATACCATTTGATGCAGCAATCCCATTACTGGGTATATACCCAAAGGAATATAAATCATTCTATTATAAAAGCACATCCACACATATGTTCATTGCAGCACTATTCACAATAGCAAAGACATGAATAACAGTCTTAACACTGAGGCTCTAACATATATTACCAGTAGCCTGATAGTAGAAACTGGATCAAGACTCTTGCCTTCACATCCAACTCATTTTTTTTCAAATGATCTCAAGCTATATAATATTATGTTAAGATAGAAGAATAAGGAGAATACCTATATTATGAAGTGAAAAACCAGTCTTTTGAGTTTTAAATTTAAAAAGAGCAAAGTATTTGACTGTGGTTTTCTGCATATGGAACTGACCAGAAATAATAAATCAGAAGATTATTGTTTCAAAAAAATTGTATTGCCAAAGATATCAAAATCTCCTGACATTTTCAACTTCTAGAAATCACCCTCCAGCCTGGCCAACATGGTGAAACTGCGTCTCTCCTAAAAAATACAAACAGTAGCCAGGCCTGGTCACACGCCTGTAATCTCAGCTACTCCGGAGGCTGAGGCAGAAGAATCATTTGAACCTGGGAGGCAGAGGTTGCAGTGAGCCGAGATTGTGCCACTGCACTCCAGCTTGGGCGACAGGTGAGATTCCATCTTAAAAAAAAAAAGAAATTACCATATTACCAGGCTCACAAATGTATACCATACGAAGTGGAAGTGGAAGGCCTAATTTCATAATGTCCAGTTCAGAAGAGGCAATGGAAGATAAAAGAGAAGAATTTTCAAGCAACAAAGTCAATGACCATGAGGATCAATGGGCAAGAGAATTCTTCCTAATGAATAGTACATTGAGCTGTAAGATGAGCTAACTGATATTCTACTTTGAGTGAAGCAAATTTTTGCATTCTTTCTAAGCATGAATTAATAACTACTAGGGACATGCAACTTCTGAGTGCTTTGAACAATATCCCTTTGCCCTAATGTGAAGTTTTTTGTTTGCTTTCTTTTTCCTTAATTCCTTTTATCTTGTTCCTACTTTCTTTTATTTTAAAAGATCTGGGGGTATAAGTAATAAATATCTTTATTTATAAATCACCTGACCACAATAATCTAAAACTGAACATGCTGGAGGGCATTGCACATTGCAGAGAGGAGCTAAACAAAGTTATTCTTCTTACTTAGGTAGAAAGTGCCTGTGTTTATATGTAGAAAGAGGAGGAAATGAGCATATTTGGGAGGCCAAATGAGGACACAAATTATCCTTTAATAAAAGCTACATATACCACCCATCCTCTGTTGCTTTTAGGGATGACCATGCAATTAAGCTCTGATCAAAGGCAGAAAGACCACTTCTCCGGAGCTTGAATAGAAGAGGCAAGTAGCATTTTCTGATTTTCGGGGAGCCTTAAGACACCTTCTCCCTTCTTTGTTCCTTCCTGTTTCTACTACTTCTTGACAGGTGGAGCTCTCACGTGGACCTGCAGACCAATCATACACACTTAGAATGACAAAACAAAGAGCTGGAAGGTATGAAGTCTTCTGTAGACTTACTAGATTAGAACCACCATCCCATTTCTGGATTGCATCTATCAGGATCTTTGAGAGAGATTTTTAAAAATTGTTTCAATTGTTATTGTTTTTATTTTTATTTTCTGTCAACAGGGATGTCATAGAATCCATGGGACTGCTGAAAAACCAAGATCAGAAAATTGTCAGGAGCTAGTGGAGGCTGAGCAGTGAAGGTTAGAGCCCAGCACATAGAGCAGCAGTCCCTTAGAATGCAGGTGCTGGCTTTACTGGAAATAGACTCTCAGTACCACTGAAGCAATGAGTACTTTCACTGCTGTTCTTAATATTTTATTCACTCAAGGTCCAGAATAGTAGGTTAATGCATTCAATTGAAGAAAGGGACTTTACTCAGTCTAATACATTAAAGTATTCCCAATAAATGGAAGGGTTACTGGAAGCTCAGAAGCAAAACAATAAGCAAATAAACAAACTAGTGTGCCTATTGTATTAGTATGTACCTTGCAATGTTAACTGTATACCAATATTATTTCCTCAAATTGACCAGAGGCACTTCAAAAACTTACTTATTGGTTTAACAAGCAAATAATTGAACAAATTATTCAAATAGTTTCAAAATATGTGCTAATTCTCAAATTTAAATGCAATTACTTAGATTGAAACTTAATTCAATATAACATTCACGTCCCTTGTGTTAAGAAGTAGCTAACATGCCATATTAGTTCAGTGGCAGAGATATTATTAGAATGACTGAACTGCATAATTTTAAGGAATGCTATTCGGAAGTGATACAAAAACATGAATTTTAAAAACATACACTTAATCATTTAAGAGAACTCATCTTTTAGACTATATCCTTTCTAGCAGCAGAAAAAATAATTATGATTATTTGTTATTACCTAAATCATATGTCACATGGACTACAAAGAGATCATGATTTGTGCATATTGGTTTTATGATGGAAAAGCTGATGGTCCTTTAGGTATGACATATAAAAGGGATCTCCAAATGACAATCACATTTTGAAATTAGATGGCATAGGAGGATTAAGTGGGTGAGATAGTAGCTACAAATATAAAAGAAAGCTGGCTGCACTCTGCAAGGATTTAATCAAATATGGAATAGTTTCCTTAGTGCTACTGATATAGCCTCATTATTTCAAATGCGACAAAGAAATGAAATGTAATGCTCCTTAGCTGCAGAAGTAGAGGGTGAAGCAAAAAATAATAACCAAAAAATCCTTGGTGGTAGTAAGAAAGAATAGTAGAAAAGTGCAACATGATTTTAAATGTTCATTAATGTTATTAAAGAGGAATTACATTTTAAATATTCTGATAGTACTATGCTTAAATGTAAGTTCTTTTGCACAGAATCAAATGACTAGCAATCATTAGTGCCAACAAGTTATGTTAACACTGAAGATCATGCAAAATTCCCAAAAGATTTTGACTATTGGGAAAGAAAACTTTATTACAGAATACCAAGAGCAGCCACAAATCTCTACTGTTTAAACTGCAGTCATGTTGGTAAATTAACATTTAAAAACAGATGGGCAGCTGGGCACAGTGGCTCATGCCTGTAATCCCAGCACTTTGGGAGGCTGAGGCGGGTGTATCATGAGGTCAAGAGATCGAGACCATCCTGGCCAACATGGTGAAACCCTGTCTCTACTAAAAATACAAAAATTAGCTGGGAGTGGTGGCACATGACTGTAGTCCCAGCTACTTGGGAGGCTGGGGCATGAGTATCACTTGAACCTGGGAAGCGGAGGCTGCTGTGAGCCAAGATCATGCCACTGTACTCCAGCCTGGCAACAGAGGGAGACTCTGTCTCAAAAACAACAACAACAACAACAACAAAACCACCAGATGTGCTCTCGAATCCAGAAATATAACATTGTATGTACAGATGAACAGAATTTTTTTAAAGAGAGTTATTTTTTCTGCAAATAATTAGTATAGGTATTTGAAATGATACCACAAAATAGCAAGTTAGCAACAGTAAATATAGAAATTAAACTACAGTTTACATATAAGTGAATTAATAACCTTTTATTAGTGAACTATATGAGGAAATAGCAACATACCAATAATTATTAAAATAACAGAAATATCACTATTTTTGGAAGGATAAACATTAAGGATGGTCCAAATTTTAATCAAAGTTCTAAAAAGATCAGTCACTTGACTTGGGAAAAAACCTTGACATTTGGACTATTCTGTACAGTAAGGAATAATGTGGGCCACTGAATATAATATTAATATCCAGAAATGTTTTGGCATATTCATACTCAAATTGCAGTCCACAGACTCATTTCCCTCATAAAGTATTTATTACTGACCACACAAGTTAGCATAGGAATTGATGTCAAACAATATTATAATCATTGTGACAGTAATTTTATGTCTGTTGAATCTATTGATAAAAATGTTGAGCTTGTACTTCATGTATTTTTAAATTTCTTTTTCAAATAATCAACTTGTATCCTAGTTTTAAAAGCATTGGCTCCAAACAGAGAGGAAATGATTAAGAAAACATAGTGAGAAACATTGTTTTAGAGATCTCGACATCGTATGTTGGATTAATTTAGTTATGATAGTTTAGATATAGATTCCTCTTAAGACCTCTCCAAAATTGCTTATTTCTGCCCTTTTTACCTCTCTGTGACTTTGCATCTGAGCTCAACTGATGATTATGTATTCTTTTATTTTAATGTATTGGCCATGACTTCAAAGGTGAGGATGAGAGATAAATGCAAAAAACAAAACAAAACAAAACAAAACAAAAAGACACATGTCAATGGGACCTGCAAGAAGAAATCAAAAATAATCGGTGACCAATACCTCCAATATTTGCAAGAATAAAAGACTAGAGAAGGCTTGGAAAAGTGATTCATTAAAGAGATTTTTAAGAGAGTAAAGAGCTCTAAGCTATTTTTCCTGGTCTCAGGTAAGAAATAGTATGAACCTACATAATAAATGTGTATGATTAAATGTAATATTAGCAATACTTCCCTAGCCCACAATGCGACAAGGAGTTTGCACCACAATAAAATAACGTCTTCAAGTATTCTATTTAATTCAGCTGTCATTTTATTTTTCCACAGGAAAATGTTTCCAATGACAGAAACAGTGTAGAGATACACCAATTATCACAAGTTTCTTATCTCATTGGCCAGTAACAATCAATTAGTTGACTGGTTACTTTAAGTAGGACCATTAAATAGATTAGATATTAGTGAAAAAGCAAATGCTAGCACATTTCGGAACAGCTGGATACCGCCTGAACTGCAATATCTCCATTGCCTCTCCAGTGCCGCAACATGACCAGAGCATGAAAGAGTTATTGGGAGAACTTGGCATGCCCCTTATGAAGATCTGAGAACCTAATGCCAACTTTTGCCCAAAGAAGTCCTAAAGTGGTTGTTCAAAGTCCTTGTGGGTGGGCAGATGAGAAACAGCAATGAGAAAGCCTAAATTATCAGAGCTTTATAGAGCTGACTTTTCCTTTGCTCTGAGTGACTTGGGGAAAGGATCAGGTCTTGCAGTTTTCTCAAAGAACCCTGCCCAATAGTGACCCCTTCCAGAGATGTATCAGTGGGGAAGAACCTTGTTAAGAATTTTGAAGGCGTTGAACTTTTTCTTTAAGCTAACAAGTTAGCCTTCCCAGGTTTCATAGATGGAAGCATATAAAAGAGATTCCTGGGTTAGCAACAAAGGGATTTATTTATCATGGCACAGCATAGAGAATGAGCTTAATGTTTACATCAGTAGTGACTCTTTCCCCTATCCCCTATGGGAAATGCAGGAGCAGGCTCAGTTATATGGAGGACACATGGTAGATTTGGTTCATAGCTGAGAAACCCCAAGTTTAGGAAACTTCAATATTTTAAAGGAGGCATCTAGCAAGCTTGCCCAAATATTACCCTGGAGGGAGACATTATCTTTATTATCCTTCAACAAGTTTAAAGAAATTTAAAGGATAATAAACAAATTTGCTCTTTGACAGGCAGGAAGATACTATGCTTATTTCCAAACCTGTTTGCTATGCAAACATTCTTGAAAAGTTGGTCCAGCACAAAAGCTGATGCAAGATGTCCAGAAATATCATGGAGACTAGCTTTCCAACAGAGCTAAATAAAACCTATGAAATTTTAGATAAATTTGTGTTAATCATAGCCAGTGACAGTTATTGTAGCCTGTCATGAGAGAAAAGAGAAAACTACAAATAAAACTAAACAGTTAGTATAAGTTTGCTTCATTACTGTATTTCCATATTTTCAATATTTTATATCACTCATTTCTTGCCCTGAGATCAGAAGAGGCAAAAGGAAGGGGGCAAGAGATAAAGGAATTGGAACAGGGAGAACATCAAGCTAGAAGCTGGAACCATCATTGCTGCTCTATGGAATGAGTGGTGAGAAATCATATTTGAGATGAGGGAAAGATGTAAGAAGTTTTGAATAGAGTTAGAGATTAAATTTTGATATTAATTGCACTAAATCTTTAAATAAATAGGTTACTCATGGATGACCTTGAATAAGTAATTTACTATGTAAGACTAAATTTCTTCATCAATGAAAAGGGTTAATATTAACGTTAAGACCACAGGGCTGTTCTGAGGGTTGCATAAATGTCCACTAAAAGCACTTAGCTTTAAAGAAAAATAAAAAATACAAAGTAAATGCTAAGCAATTGGTTTATTATTATTTTTGTCAGTTAGATGATGATATATAATTATATTTACTTAACCACATTTTAAGTGTTTTTGTGCTAGGCAGATTAATGCTGCTTTTGATGTTAGAAAAAGAGCAGACTGTGTATTTAAGATAATATGTGAAGTACATAAATATTTTGTTGCTGGTCTCTCTGCATCTTGGGATTTATGGTCTAAAATGATATACAATAAAGTGAATTAAGTAGTAGCCCTTGAACAAATGCTTGTACTCATAAAGTAAAGAGGAAGAAACTGAGTTCATATTGCCTGAAAATAAGCCAGCATGTATTCTAAAACACATGGAATTATACCAGCCTGAACTGTAGGTACAGATATTCAATGTTTAAGATATGTTCTGCTCCTGTCTTTTACCTCCAAGTTGAACACTTTCATGTAATTCCATGTTCTGAAATAGAGATTTCATTTTACAGCAAGCCACATTCCAACTGGGAGAAAAATATATGTAAACTGAGAAATACATCAAATATTGACATTTAAATATGAATCTACCTGGCTTGAGGCCCAGAAAGGTCAGGAAAATGTTGGATCCATAAAAGATTTTCAAGCTTTATTGGAAACTTGCTCTCATAAAAAAATTAAAACATCTGGGACAAATAAAGATATGAAAACTGATCAAGATAAAACAAAAAATATATTGTTATTATGCAAGTTGTAGCAAATAACCAGAAATGCTGTATATTCTCTGTTATAAGATCCTTTTGATTATAAAAAACCTTATAATTTAAAAACACGTTTAGGGAGAGATTAATGTGTTGAGAGAGAGCAAATCACTTCTTTTAAACTGAGTTGATGATAATTTTCATGCATTCCAGCCAAAGCCAACCAGGAACAAATATGTAGTTAAACAGAGTCAAGTTTATTAACAAGTTGCAACATTGGAGAACACACACATACATACATACATACATTTCAATTGAATAAACATGCTAGCTAAGAGAAACAAACTATCACAATGGATTTTTAAAAATCTAACAATATGTTTATTTGTGAAGGACTAAACATATGCCCATAAAATATTTGAAAGAAAAAGAAAATAATAATGCTCATTACATCAATGTTTTTAATAGATAAAAGTCAGAAAACCAAAGATAAATTGTCATATATTTACACAATGTAATATTAAATATGGGCATGAATGGACCACAGCTTCATAGATACAATATGGATATAAGTTAATAGTAATTTAATTATAATTAAGATGAAATAAGCAAGTCCTTGGAGATGATTTTTTATACAATATTCAAAAACAAGTAAGATCTAAACAAGAATTGTACAGACATAAGCATATATGTAACAACACTTTTTACAATATGAAAAGAAACAATGAAAACAAAAAAATTCAAGATATTGAGTATCTCTAGGTATAAAAAACTCAAGATATGGACTATCTCTAGTTATAAGCAAGGAGGTAGAATAACAAATAATCAAAAGTAGATGAAAAGAATAGCTAGAAGTAGATCTTGACACATTTCTAGCTTTGAGTTTTTGTTGATTTTGTGGTTGCTTATCATATAATAAAAATGCATACACACTACCTACCTACCTACATGCATACAGCCATACACAGACTGAACTTCCATGTAGTAAATATATATGAAAATTAATCTAATTCTGTTCACCTGGGGGGCAGATATAAAAATTTCTGGACCCTTGTATAACAAAATATATTTAATTTGCTGAATTAAAAATTTCTGATACTTAAACACTTTAGATTTTCTCTCTCTCTCTCATAAAATTTCAGTCATTAAGAAATTCTCTGTTCTGTTCCAGTGGTCTATATCTCTGTTTTGGTACCAGTATCATGGTTTGGTTACTGTAGCCTTGTAGTATAGTTTGAAGTCAGGTAGCATGATGCCTCCAGCTTTGTTCTTTTGGCTTAGGATTGACTTGGCAATGCAGGCTCTTTTTTGGTTCCATATGAACTTTAAAGTAGTTTTTTCCAATTCTGTGAAGAAAGTCATTGGTAGCTTGAAAGGGATGGCATTGAATCTATAAATTACCTTGGGCAGTATGGCCATTTTCACAATATTGATTCTTCCTACCCATGAGCATGGAATGTTCTTCCATTTGTTTGTATCCTCTTTTATTTCACTGAGCAGTGGTTTGTAGTTCTCCTTGAAGAGGTCTTTCACATCCCTTGTAAGTTGGATTCCTAGGTATTTTGTTCTCTTTGAAGCAATTGTCAATGGGAGTTCACTCATGATTTGGCTGTTTGTCTGTTATTGGTGTATAAGAATGCTGGTGATTTTGCACACTGATTTTGTATCCTGAGACTTTGCTGAAGTTGCTTATCAGCTTAAGGAGATTTTGGGCTGAGGCAATGGGGTTTTCTAGATATACAATCATGTCATCTGCAAACAGGGACAATTTGACTTTGTCTTTTCCTAATTGAATACCCTTTTTTTCTTTCTCCTGCCTGATTGCCCTGGCCAGAACTTCCAACACTATGTTGAATAGGAGCGGTGAGAGAGGGCATCCCTGTCTTGTGCCAGTTTTCAAAGGGAATTCTTCCAGTTTTTGCCCATTCAGTATGATATTGGCTGTGGGTTTGTCATAAATAGCTCTTATTATTTTGAGATACGTCCCATCAATACCTAATTTATTGAGAGATTTTAGCATGAAGGGCTGTTGAATTTTGTCAAAGGCCTTTTCTGCATCTGTTGAGATAATCATGTGGTTTTTGTCATTGGTTCTGTTTATATGCTGGATTACATTTATTGATTTTCCTATTTTGAACCAGCCTTGCATCCCAGGGATGAAGCCCACTTGATCATGGTGGATAAGCTTTTTAATGTGCTGCTGGATTCGGTTTGCCAGTATTTTATTGAGGATTTTTGCATCGATGCTCATCAGGGATAGAGGTCTAAAATTCTCTTTTTTTGTTGTGTCTCTGCCAGGCTTTGGTATCAGGATGATGCTGACCTCATAAAATGAGTTAGGGAGGAGTCCCTTTTTTTCTATTAATTGGAATAGTTTCAGAAGGAATGGTACCAGCTCCTCCTGGTACCTAGCAGAAGAAACTACCATCAGAGTAAACAGGCAACCTACAGAATGGGAGAAAATTTTTGCAATCTAATCATCTGACAAAGGGCTAGTATCCAGAATCTACAAATCCAGAACTCAAACAAATTTACAAGAAAAAAACAAACAACCCCATCAACAAGTGGGTGAAGGATATGAACAGACACTTCTCCAAAAAAGACATTTATGCAGCCAAAAGACATGTGAAAAAATGCTTATCATCACTGGCCATCAGAGAAATGCAAATCAAAACCACAATGAGATACCATCTCACACCAGTTAGAATGGCAATCATTAAAAAGTCAGGAAACAACAGGTGCTGGAGAGGATGTGGAGAAATAGGAACACTTTTACACCGTTGGCAGGACTGTAAACTAGTTCAACCATTGTGGAAGTCAGTGTGGCAATTCCTCAGGGATCTAGAACTAGAAATACCATTTGACCCGGCCATCCCATTACTGGGTATATACCCAAAGGATTATAAGTTATGCTGCTATAAAGACACATGCACACGTATGTTTACTGTGGCACTATTCACAATAGCAAAGACTTGGAACCAACCCAAATGTCCAACAATGATAGACTGGATTAAGAAATTTGGCACATATACACCATGGAATACTATGCAGCCATAAAAAATGATGAGTTCATGTCCTTTGTAGGGACATGGATGAAGCTGGAAACCACCATTGTGAGCAAACTATCGCAAGGACAAAAAACCAAATACCACATGTTCTCACTCATAGGTGGGAATTGAACAGTGAGAACACATGGACACAGGAAGGGGAACATCACACACTGGGGCCTGTTGTGAGGTGGGGGGAGTGGGGGGGATATCATTAGGAGATATACCTAATGCTAAATGACGAGTTAATGGGTACAGCACACCAACATGGCACATATATGTATATATGTAACAAACCTGCACGTTGTGCACATGTACCCTAAAACTTAAAGTATAATAAAAAAAGAAAAAAAATTAAAAACAAGCAACAAATATATCAACAGGCAACTGGCTTAATAAATTATGGTGTATCCATATGTTATAATATTGTGCAGCTCTTAAAAACAAAGAGGTAGATATGTACCTGCTTTTATGGAAAGATCTTCAAGACATATTATTAAATAAAAGAAGCAGGGTGAGGAGAAAAAAAAAAGAAATTCTCAGAAGATTGTAAAAGCAGTTGCTGTAAAAATTTCTTTTTCTGAATTTGTTGGTATATCCTGCCTTATCTTATACCAATTTTGCAAAACTTCTCATAAAATGAACTTATAGATTAAATTATTTCATCAAAATTAGAAAAAAGTAGGTATATTTTAACATCATATTCATTTATAAAGAGTGCATTATTTGAAAGAAAAATAATAAATTTTTATACTACACGCTGGCAGAATTATATGTGTCTGTGTATATACAAAATGATAAAATTATCTTAAATTATGTAATGTATAATTATATAGATTTTAGAGGCATACAATTTTAAACATTATATTTTAAAAAAATCATTTGAGTATTCCTGAAGGCGGATTTAACTGCTTATTAATAAATATGTCTTTCAGTAAAATCAGCATTAATTGCACTCTTGACAAGCAGTAAAATAGAGACTGACGTGATAAAAAATAAAAGTAAGTTTGTAAAAGTAGGGCTCCGCCAATACAAAATGAAATGTATAATTTCCTACTGTCATGAATTATTTCTGTACCCTTATTTTTATTTTTTATTTACAAATATGGAAGAGATTGAGTTGCTCTTCATGACAGGTCTATATCCCAGAGCTCATCATGGGGCTTGGAACCTGAGTGGTTTTCTCTTGGCAGCCATCCCATATGTGATATCTGCTCTGTGAAATCTGGTATATTTAGTTGTTTTCATTGCTATTGAGATCAACACAAAATTCACTCTTGAAAGTGTATAAGGCAAAAAAATGTGAACAGGAAGACTAATTATCACTTACTGACACCACAGCAGAACTGTTTTTCCCATATTTAAATGATTTAGACATGATAATACTCTTCACAGTTATCAGTGGAAAAGAGTTCAGCTATGTGATTTAACCATAATAAGATAAATACATATGAAATTCTCAAGTCCATTAAAATTTAGAATCCTTAAAAGCATTTGTATTAATCAAGCTTAAAGATTATTTTTGTATTCATAATATTCCTTATATTTCCATTTCCGTACTGTTAGGGATAAAAACTTTTTATATAGTGTACCAATCTATATATATGCTCTTCAGCAAAACAGATAAGCTTTTTTCCTGTCAAAACATTTAATTATAAAGTTGTTCATGTTAGTTAAGAAGTAAATCATTTAAAGGGTAAAAAAAGATTAAATGTAATCTTGAAAGGAAAATGCTTACTGATAAAAAGGAGAGAAACTTGTAGTCAAAGAAAGAAAGTAATTTGTCATTTCAAGATAGTTAATGAGCTTCAGATACTCTTTGATGATGAGAAAGAGTACGATACACACACAAAAAGCTTTAATGAAGTATAAAATTATAACAGATAATGAGGTTCTTTTTATAGAATATGCAATTAGTAATTGTTGAAATTTATATTTCTTATGATTATAAATATGTTGACAACACTATGTACATGTAAAACCATTTTGAATAGAAGTGATAAATTCTAGATTAAGCTGATCAAGATCAAGCTAACTTTTCTTTTTCTGGCTTAATTCTCTATTCTGTGGATTGGGGAGAAACAAAATGGGTCCAAAGCACAGGATTTTAGAAAGGTGTACATTAAACTGCTGCAACTGTAATAGCATACAAGTGAGCTGAGGGGATTTGTTTAATCAAATGGCTGAGGGGTATTAGGATGGTACCTGAGAAAATAATATATGAGTAACATGGACAAAAAGGTTGAATAGACTGATAATTAGAAAAATAAGAATCAGTAGAATTTTATGTAACTATTTTAGGAGTAAAAGACCAGAAACACAGTAAAAAACAGGAAATCATTTTCCTGTATGTGTCGAAGTTAATTTGAACCTTCGAGTCACAAAGAATTGCTTTTCCAAGTATTTTTATTTTATGATTATTTTTCATTCTCTGTATTTAACATGTATAATGAAATAACTTGCACAATTATATAACAAAATGCATATGTAAAAGCATATGGCTGCATACTATATGCATATGGAATTCTTTGTTGTATTGTAGTAAAGAAACATGAAGATGACTAAAATATTCAATAATAAACAATAGTTTAAATGTAATCCAATTCTCGGAAACAATCATATGCACTTCTGAACATGTTTATGCAAGATATATGTATCTTTTTTTTTTTTTTTTTTTGAGAGAGAGTTTCACTCTTGTTGCCCAGGCTGGAGTGCAACAGTGTGATCTTGGTTCACCGCAACCTCGGCCTCTCAGGTTCAAGCAATTCTCCTACCTCAGCCTCCCGAGTAGCTGGGATTACAGGCATGTGCCACCATGCCTGGCTAATTTTTTGTGTTTTAGTAGAGACAGGATTTCTCCATGTTGGTCAGGCTGGTCTCAAACTCCCGATGTCGGGTGATCCGCCTGCCTCAGCCTCCCAAAGGGCTGGGATTACCGGAGCGAGCCACCACACCCAGCCAAGATATATATATATCATAATAAAAAAGATGTTAATGAGCTAGCCATTGAAAAGTAAGCCATAGAGTAGAATATTGATATGTATTTGCCTGGCTGGGCCTTTCTTGCTCAACTAATAAATAATCTGTTAAGACTATGTACTAACTGTTTAACATTGGTTTAGAGAGATTGGTTTATTGAGTTTATCAAGATTTTAACCATTATTTATACTAACATGATGTCTAAATATTTTAGAGACAAATATTAAAAAATTGAAATATGGTATTAAATAATAAGCTATTAATATTTTATGTACTTTGATTTTGAAAAGATGCCTAAAATTATTTCCTAATTTGAGTTTTTCTTCTCTCCGTTTAAATTAATTGTACTGAAAACTATTGTAATATGAACCATTGACAGATGGTTTAAGAATCTAAATAAGTATAATTTTGCATATAGCATATGCAATCATTTTTCTTAGAAGATAGTATTAGGTAATTGCCCTTATTAATGATCCCCTAGCATTTTGGTAAGGGTTATCTGTTAAACAATTTAGACTATCACTATAAAATATTACTTACATTTATGCCTCTAGAATGCCTTCTAACTTAAGACTGCAACATTAACTTCTACCGAAACTTTCTTTCTTTCTTTTTCTTTCTTTCTCTTTCTTCCTGTCTCTCTCTCTTTCTTTCTTTTTCTTTCTCACTTTGTCTTTCCTTTCCTTTCTTTTCCTTTCCTTCCTTCCTGTCTTTCTTTCTCTCTCTCTCTTTCTTTCCTTCCTTCCTTCCTTCCTTCCTTCCTTCCTTCCTTCCTTCCTTCCTTCCTTCCTTCCTTCCCTCCTTCTTTCCTTCCTTCCTTCCTTCCTAACTTCGTTCTTTCCTTCTTTCTTTCTTTCTTTTTTTTTTTTTCGGAGTCTCACTCTGTTGCCCAGGCTGGAGTGCACTGGCGCGATCTCGGCTCACTGCAAGCTCCGCCTCCTGGGTTCACACCATTCTCCCGTCTCAGCCTCCAGAGTAGCTGGGACTACAGGGGCCTGCTCCCACTCCCGGCTATTTTTTTTTTTTATGTATTTTTAGTGGAGATGGGGTTTCACCATGTTAGCCAGGATGGTCTCGATCTCCTGACCTCATGATCTGCCCGCCTCAGCCTCCAGAGTAGCTGGGACTACAGGGGCCTGCCCCAACTCCCGGCTATTTTTTTTTTTTTTTGCATTTTTAGTGGAGATGGGGTTTCACCATGTTAGCCAGGATGGTCTCGGTCTCCTGACCTCATGATCTGCCCGCCTCGGCCTCCCAGAGTGCTGGGATTACAGGCATGAGCCACCGTGCCCAGCTGAGGCAGAGTCTCGCTCTGTCCCCAGGCTGGAGTGCAGGAGTTCTGTGGCGCGATCTGGGCTCACTGCAAACTCTTAACTCCCTGGTTGAAGCGAGTCTCCTGCCTCAGCCTCCTGAGTAGCTGGGACTACAGGCGTGTGCCACCACGCCCAGCTAATTTTTGTGTTTTTAGTAGAGACGGGGTTTCACCATGCTGGCCAAGATGGTCTCGATCTCTCGACCTCGTGATCCACCCGCCTCGGCCTCCCAAGGTGTTGGGATTACAGGCGTGAGCCACCATGCCCGGCCAACTTCTACCAGAATTTTCTAATGATCTGCGTCTTAAATTTTTCCCACAATTATACGAGTCAGTTTCTTAAAATAAATGTCTTTCTCCATGAAGACACATCCTATTGGTTCTGTTTTTCTGGAGAACCCTAATACAATAACTAACAATACCCACTGCATTAAAGCCCAAGTGAATTGCAGTGGTTTTAAATTCAAATGTCTTTAAGGACACAGCAGATGAATGAAATTAGGAAACTGAGGTGATTAAAAAACAGTAAGTAGTGGTGAGAATGGTGTTGAACTTGAGAGTTCACTCCGTTGAAAGAAATTCAAACTAAAATATTTTAAACAATGTGTCCCCACTCACACACAAAAAAATCTTGCAGGCTGATTCAGCCCATAGAACTGCAGTATGTGACTTCATTTGAAGAATTAATAGAAAGGAAAGAAAATTGTGGGTTAGAATAACTAGATAAAACTTCGCAGAGGTACAACTACACATCCATTAGATTGATCAAAATCCAGCGTGCTGACAATAACACATGTTGGTGAGGATAAGGAACAATAGAAACTTCATTCATCGCCAGTAGGAATGCAAAATGGTACTGCCGTGTTGAAAGGCATTTTGGCAGTTTCTTAAAAAATTAAATATAATTCAGGTAGTTGAAGAAATAATGTGATGATTCATGATGCTCAAAACGTGATTTCACAGACATATAAGCTTGCTTTTTCTCTAGTATATTCTGTGTAGGTAAAATATAAACTGTCATTCTAATAAATTCAATTTTGAAAAATTCCAACTAAAAAAGGAAAAAAATTAGTTTCTCCTAAAAGGGAAGAACTTTTCTTTTCAATGGAGATCAATGAAAACTGATTTTCAACAGTCTGACAATACATACCCATACACATGCACCCATGCGTATGTGGTATGTGTGTCTGTGTGCGTATTGCAGAGGAGTGAAAAAGATAGGAATATATTTTACCTCTTTCATAAATTCTGTTTTTGTTTTCTTATTTTGACTTTTCTCCTGGATGCTCCAGCTAGTATTGTTTTACTAAGCAAATTATTTTATAGAGAATTTCAGGCTGATGTTTGGAATAATCAAACATAATTGCTAGAGTAATGGAGGAGAATAACACATTCAGAATGATATCTGACCACTAAGTCTGTATCCTCTTACCAGACTGTAAAGTGATCCAGTACTTTGGGAGCAGACGTATTTATTGAAGCCATTTTCATATGAGACACCATCAATAACCTAGTTCTATTAAAATGCATCTACATACCATTTAAATATAAAAAAAAATTTTACTAAACGTAAACTAAGTATATCCCCAACAAAACTCATCCTTAGTCAGATCTGCAAAATTTCCAATCCCATTCCATTGTCAATAAACATGAGGGAAATTCTAAGACAGGAAAATTTCAACTAGAAAGAGATAACAATCTCAACTAATTGTTAGGAAAAAACTATTTTCAGTTTTATGAAGGCATGTAACTATATGTGTACATTGCTACAACACTACCTCAGAAAGAGGCCAGTGTACAAGAGGGTCGTGCAGATCAAAGGGTTCATTAGCTTCAGTTTAAAACTGCCCAGGGATGTGATATTAAGGTTAATTTACATATTTTTAATGTTAATTATGTAATGAGCATATTTAATTTTAACTAACAAGCTAATTAGTTCCTATTCTTTTTAGAAAATAAAGAAAAGAAGGACCAAAAACATTAAGATATTCCTCTACGGCTACAAAATAAGCAAGTCATGAAACTGCTGTTTTAATCCAGATTAGACATATTCTAAAGCCCTTCCCACTGTACAATGTTGACCTCTCTTCCAACAAAAAATGTTACAATAATACCTATTCTTATTAGGATATTCACTGGTAGTGTGAGTATTTAAGTGAAATACAGTGAGATAAACATTGAGAAATTATAAATATGGACAATGGGAGTTCTGGACAAAAAGAAAGTCACTTTGGAGCTGCCTAGTCCCCATAGCAGAGAGTTAATGGATAAGATTGGAGTTGGGGAAGAGAAAAGTGAGAGAAGTAATGAGAAGAACCAGATAGCCAGGCACCGCCCTCCCTTCATCTTTATAAGGAAGTGATTTGTAATTACTGTATTCAGATCTAATAAGGGGAATGAGTTTGCTATGGATTTTCCTAAACTGAGAAATCATCAAGCTTGTGTTTAGGAGATATGAAAATACTTAGTATTACTTAATGCAAGCAGTACAAAATACTCCTCAGTATCATGCAATATTCAGACATATACTTAGTACTGAAGTAACTTCTGTCTTTCTCACTGTCTTTACATAATTAAGAGCCTGCTAAGATTATAAAGACATATAAAACAAACTGGGTTCAGAGTGGCCAAGACAGGAAGATTGCTTTAGCTTGGGAGTTAGAGACCAGCCTGAGGAATATAATGAGACTTTGTCTACACTAAAAAATAATAATAATAATAATAAAATATTAGCCAGCATGGTGGCATGCACCTGTAGTCCCTGCTGCTCTGGAGGCTGAGGTGGGAGGATCACTTGAGTTTGGGAGACAGAGACTGCAGTGAACCTTGATTGTGCCACCGCACTCCAGCATGGGCAACATAGCAAGACCCTGTCTCAAAAACAAACAGGCAAACAAACAAAACAAGAGACACAATTTCATTATAAAGAAGCCCTTCCCAGAAGATTCATATCCCTCTATTCTTCTGGTAGTTTGATGAGTCTTGTGATTATATAGCCCATTTGTATTTCTCAGTGAATTGTCGATATTGCTATTTTTCTTCTTCATTAAAGTGAAATGTGCATCTTGTAACTGTGATACATATACTCTTTTATAATCAGACACAAATTTGTCCTACTTTTTCAGAGATACATATATAGGCATAGACATAAATAAATATATTGATACAGAGAGAGGAGAGAGAGTTAGAGAGACATCCGTAGAAGTTGTAGAAAAACAGTGAAGGCATTAATTTGAAGTGAAAATTACCATGAAGAACCCCCTAGTTAAATCACTGAATGTTCTATCCACTCCACATTATAAGAATTTTTGAAGAAACTAAGCTTTTAAGGTTTTTTTTCTGTTTGTTTTCTGTATCATTAGTAAGCTAGAGAAAGAGCAATGACTATTACTTACTGGCTGGTGCTTTGTTTGTTATTTTTAAAAATTTTCATACAAAGGGACTTAAATACTAAATTATAGCAGGAATATACTAAACTCACATAGTAAACAACACTAATCCTGAAAAATAATTAAAGTTTACAACATATATATATGTATTTGTGTTTAGATGATACTGGCTATTACATAAGTATGATATCTAGCATTAAAACATGTTATGTTGAACAAAAATATTTATTTTATAATTCAAGTACTAATAAGCATTTATTTAGAAGTAAAAAATCCTTTAATAGAAAAAAAGTTTAAAAATCATGCATAAATTGTAAGAATAACAGTTTTAGAATTCACATGAATTTGCCTCTGATTAAAGGCAATCAGAGGCCAGGCACGGTGGCTCACACCTGTAATCCCAGTACTTTGGGAGGCCAAGGCAAGCAGATCACATGAAGCCAGGAGTTCAAGACCAGCCTGGCCAACATGGTGAAACCTTGTCTCTACTAAAAACAAAAAAATTAGCAGGGTGTGGTGGCGGGGACTTATAATCCCAGCTACTTGGGCGGCTGAATCAGGAGAATCGCTTGAACCCAGGAGGTGGAGGTTGCAGTGAGCCGAGATTGCACCACTGCACTCCAACCTGGGTGACAGAGCAACTCTGTCTCAAAAAAGAAAAAAAGAAAGAAAAAAATAAAAAAGGCAGTCAGAGCTATGGAAGCTATTGAAAAGCTTCAACTGGGTCATATACATTTCTTGAAGGAAACAGGAGAGTTCTGGGATGAGCAAACAGTTTAGAAAGGGCAGTGTCCATATTTCCAGTCCCTGGCAAAGCAAAAGTAGAAGTGAAGCATTTGGTACCTCAGCACACATTCTATCTTTTATGACTGCAGCAGCAATAGAAAAAAAAAAAATGTGAAGGTAAACCATATTCAAAATTCACCAACAAATATCACCAGATGTTTTTAAAGTAGAAAACAAGACAAGCAATATGAGCCAATAGCAATATTGAATAATTCATTATCTAATTTATTGATTTACTTAGCTTCAGAAACCAAATGCAGAAATACAAGACAGGTGAGTTGTGAATTTCTGACAGTTTAAGTGAAAAAGACCAGGAGTTTCAGTTGACTACAAGTGGAAAATAAGTTAGTGCGATGACAGGGCTGTCAGAAAGGCAATTTTGATTTAGAATTAATACAATTTCAGTGTCCATATTAAAGTGGAGAAGTAAAGAAGCAGTAGTAAGGTAGTTGTCAGCCCTACTGAGATAACATGAACTGTAGCAGAATCAGCTCTGAGCCCTTCAGGTTAAAAAGAAAGCCCGCAGAATCTAACCTAGTCAACTGGGTATTGTGCATTTCTTCTTAAAATCTAGCTAAAAAGCAAACAAATTTAAAAGCATTTACTTTAAGGAATTGGAGAGATGGGGAGTACTGTCTTGAATTATTAGAAAAATTTACTAAAAATAAAAATGTCCTTATTTTATTCATTAATTCAACAGATATCCATTTATATTGAATTTCTTCCACGGAATGAGCTGAGTATAGAAGATAGAAGGTTTACAGTGAGAAAGTAAGACATGGTCAATGTAGATTAAGAGATGTTAGTCTTGAAAGATGAGGAGTCATTACACTAACCATAATTCAACCAACTTTAGTAAGTTTTATGACAGGAGAGCAAAGGGTATTACATAAGAGGATCACCTAAACTCCTTGGGTCAATATTCAAGATAATCACATTTCTATGAAGAATTGAATAAATAAATTGAGACTGTATGAGAGTCAGAAAACTATGATGAAGAGAGAAATGCAGATGGATCTAAGAAAAGCAGAGTTGTACAAAGACTTGAAGTTGGTGAGAGAGATCGTCTTCTATGATCACCCCATTCACAGGAATGTCATATGGTGTAGGTAATGGTAACATCTTCAGGCTTGAATTTTATCCCAGCTCTGACACTTGATAGTTCTTAATGTGGTAAAAATCAGTAAATCTCCATACCACTAATTTTATTAATTGAAAAATGGAGGTAATTTCCATGAATGTCTCATTTCACAGGATTGTTGAATAGATTGACTAGATCTACATAGCATTTAGAAACTCTAATAATTTTACAAATGTGAACTATTGCTATCTATAACTAGTTCTATAAGAAAACGAAACAATTACATGAGAGGTAATATGATATCTGTCAAGGATATTAAAAAGGAGTTATTCAGTTGGGCTAGAGGTTAGACAAGGTATCTGGCCTACAAGTAATTTTATTTTACTTCGTGTTACTTGGCAGTATCTTTTAATAAGGAAAAGAGAGTGCATAGTTTACCTGGAAATATTTTGATATTATAAACTTCCCTAGACAAACTCCCAGATAATTATTTTCAATGGGTTTGAAGCAAGGGCTTGAAATATTTCTTTCTATAACAAATAAATGAAAGTTATCTTCATATTCGTAACCTTTGAATAAGAACCATTGGCATAGAGTTTTACATTAGTCAGATTATGGAAAATGTTACTGCAATTTACAAAATACCCTCTGATTTGAGAACATATCTTTTGATTTACATCAAGTCTAGTGCTGCACAAAGATTCAGTGTTCATCCCATACTGAATGACAACTTTCTTTAAAGAAGTGAGTTTTACCGTGTTTCATGTGGAAAAAGAGATTTAAACTCTACTTAAATTAAAACTTCCTATAGCCTGCATGCCTAAGAGCTAAGGGCTAGCACACAATTGTTTTAATCAAATGAATTTACTATATAATTTGAATTTCTAGATCATGAAGAAATATCTTATTTCCTACAAATATCACATCATTTTCAGAGAGTAAGTTCATGATAACTAGGGACTTAGAATAGATAACTGACTTTTCAAACCAAGATAACCTAGATACAATTTGGATGTTTGTTCCTTCCAAATCTTATGTTGATATCTAATCCCCAGTGTTAGAGGCTGGGCTTGATAGAGGATTGGCTAGATCATGGGGGCAGGTCCCTCATGAATGGCTTTGTTCTATCTTTGCCATAATGAATTAATTCTCACTCTATGAGTTCATGTGAGATCTGTTTGTTTCAAAGATCCTGGAATTTCCTTTTTGCTCTTTGCTCCCTCTCTCACCATGTGATGCACCTGCACCCTGGTCAGCTTCTGTCATGAATGTAAGCTTCCTGAGGCCCCCACCAGAAGCAAATACCAGCACCACACTTCATATACAGCCTATAGAACCATGAGACAAAATAAACCTTTTTAAAAAATAAATTACCCAGTCTTGGGAATTTATTTATAGCAATGCAAACAAGCTTATACATATGCGGAAGAAAATATGGAAATATAAAACTAAGTCACTGCTTGTGAACTGCTAAAAATGAATATAGAATTCCACTAAAAAGAAAAGAAGATTTCTATTATACTATTATATATCCTTTCATTGATGGTTCTTATGACAACTTTATCATTACAAGCCCTGCCCTTCCCCATTATTTTGTTAACTTTTGTAATATCTTCTGGACTAACTTCTCTTCTATCACCTGCATTCTTCTCCTTAGCTATCTACCTTAAGCTATTCTCCAGGATATGGGTCTTCTTCTTTATGACTTATTAATCTTTGTCAGCACTTCCCAAAGTGAATTCTAAGACATGTGAGTAATAATAAGTATGCCTTAAAATCTCTAGAGAGGAGTGGAGGATGAGAAATTACTTAATAGGGACAATGTACATTATTTGGGCAATGAATATCCTAAAGCCCTGATTTGACCTACTACACAATCTGTGTATGTCACAAAATTGCACTTGTACCCCATACTTTTACAAAATATTCTGGAAGAGGCAGCATATTATGGTGTTTAAGGACACAGATCTGGGGTCCTGAAACCTGGAACAAATTCTTAGCTAGACCACCTATTCCACCAGTGACTATAGGAAGGTTACATGTCTGCTCTGCACATAAGTTTCCTCCTCTGCACATAAGTTTCCTCCTCTGCATAATAAGGTTAGTATCACTGACTTTAAGATTTATTGCAGATTTAAATGAGTTAATATGTGTAAGGCCATTTTACCTGTGACCAGGATGTAGAAAGCCCTCTATAAGAATTGCTGTTCATATTGTCTTTATTATTGATATTGAAATGCTGCATTTTATAGCCCTTCCTTATAAATTCAGTTAAAGATGGAAGTTAGTATACAAGAGTTCCAAAAGGCCATTTGTGCCCATTTCAACCCACTTTTACTTCTTAAAACATCTAATATTTCCCATTAAACACAAAAACCCAAACACACAATCACATCCATGCACACATGTGTGCTTGCATGCATATAGTAAGAGCCAAAGAGAAGGGAGAGAGAAGTTTCAATGAATCTAATATTTTCTTAATGTGCTGCCACATTTCTCTGTTCCTTCTCACAATGTAATTTCTTGAATCACTTGCCGTTATTTTTGTATTGCTTTATATCCTCACTTATTCTTTTCACTTCAATCCGTCTACGACTACTATTTTTATATGTTCTTGTATCCTTACTTGTTCTCTCCACCTCACTCTTATCTACCACTACACGATTCTCCCCAAAGAGCTCTTGCCAGTATCACCTATCATCTTATGTGTTTATCCAGTGGGCATTTCTCAGTCTCATTCTGCTTAATGCTGCCATAGTATTTGATATCATATTTCATACATGTATTCTTAAAACATTCTCTGATCTGAGATTTTATTAAACCTATGTTTCTTTTATCTTTTTCAATTTATTTTTAATAAACTATTTTACAGCAGTTTTAAGTTTACAGAAAAATTGAGAGGAAGTTACAGGGATTTTTCATATACCCACTCCCCCCAAATATGCGTAGTTTCCCCCATTATCAATATTCTCTGGCAGAGTGCCAAATTTCCCACAATTGATGACGTTGGTACATCTTTATCAATGAAGATCCATAATTTGCGTTAGAGTTCACTGTTGGTGTTGCACGTTCTATTGATTTGGACAGATGTGTAATAATGGCCGGGTGTGGTGGCTCAAGCATGTAATCCCAGCACTTTGGGTGGCCGAGGCGGACGGATCACAAGGTCAGGAGATCGAGACCATCGTGGCTAACACGGCGAAACTCCGTCTCTACTAAAAATAAAAAATTAGCCTGGCGTGGCTGCGGGCGCCTGTAGTCCCAGCTACTCGGGAGGCTGAGGCAGGAGAATGGCGTGAACCCGGGAGGCAGAGCTTGCAGTGAGCAGAGATCGCGCCACTGCACTCCAGCCTGGGCGACAGAGCAAGACTCCGTCTCAAAAAAAAAAAAAAAAAAAAAAAAATGTGCAATAATATGTATCCATCACTACAGCATCATACAGGTAGTTTCATTGCCCTAAAAATCCTGCGTTCTGTCTCTTCATCCCTCTGTCGCTTAACTTCTCACTCCTCTGATCTTTTTATTGTCTCCATAGTTTTGCCTTTTCCAGAATGTCATATAATTGTAATCATACATTATGTAGTTTTTGTTTGTTTGTTTTTTCGTTTCAGATTGGCTGCTTTTACTTAGTTTCCTACATGTATTCTTATATGTATAGCTCATAAGATAGCTCATTCCTTCTTAGCACTGAATGATATTCCTTTGCCTGGATGTACTACAGTATATTTATTCATTTTCCTACTAAAAGACATCTTGGTTGCTTCCAAGTTTTAACAACTATGATTAAAGATTCTGTAAAACTCTACGTGCATAGTTTTGTGCAGACAGAAGTTTTCAACTTTGGGAAAATACGAAGGAAGGTGATTTCTAGAGGGTAGGGTTAAAAGTATGTTTAGTTTTATGAGAAAATGACAAAGTCTCTTTCAAAGTGGTTGCACCTGTTTGCATTTCCACCAGGAATGATTGAAAGTTCCTGTTGCTGTACACATTTTTACTTTTTTTCCCCAATAATTTTCCTTCTCCTTTTGGCATAAACATATAAAGGCCGAGGGAGAGACCTCACAAGACACATACATGAATAGGATTTGTTAGTTCGGACTTTAAACAGGTGCTTCTTTTCATACGCAAGAAAGAGTCATTATTTTAACAGGTCTTTAGCCCATCCACCCTCAAGTTTTTGTTATACTACTCCACACGTCCTCTACGCCTTCCACTTGGGTGAATCTAATCATTTGCCTTCTCCACCAGTGGGTGACAATCTCTTTGTTTTGCAGAAAATTAAACAAAGTAATGCATCTTTGTCATTTTTCATGAATATCATCTAATGTTAATGAAGCTCCTATAGTCAAACTGTTCTCCTACTTAGCTGAGGTCCCCTTACTGTATAGTTTTCTAAACCAGAAATTCAAATTTTTTACATCTACTGAAGCTTACACTTATGGAATATTTCCTTTTTGTTGGGCCTTGATTCCATTAGTTTACATTACTGGGCATGTTAATATTCATGGCAATTGTAGAAGACATAATTGTTACTATCTCCAGTGTGTAAATCAAGCCTATGTTTAGTAACCTGCCCAAATCACACAGCTAGTGAGAAGTGAACCAGGATTTGATCCTGAGCATCAAACTCTTCTGCCAGCACCCTCAAGTGCCATTCCTCCTGAATATGTTGAATAATATACTTTTTTATAAATGGCCTATAAATAATCTCTTTTCACTTCTACAACATATATTTTTCCCTTTACTCTGGGCCCTTACCTTTATCCCTTAAACACTGATAAATCTCACTCTTGGTAAATAACTTAAAAAATAATAATTTGACTACTTCTTCTAATCTTCTCACTTTTTTTTTTACAATAAAAACTTTAAAATAGATTTGTTCTTTTTAAGTACTGAACTTCATTTGTTTTCTAGGTTCATTGCAATATTCAGCTTTTTCTACAAACTGACAATTCTTACTAGGTCACCAGTGAATTGATAAATTCTATATGGAAAAAATACTTTATATTTGTTTTCTTTAGCTTTTTCAGCATGTCATATTATCCATTACTTTTTCTCATATTTTTGCTTTAATAATACCATTTCTTTTATTATTTTTATAAATTTCTATAATTGTTCTTTAATTGAGTTCTAATTATTCTTTGCCCTCCACCTACCCGTAAATATTCCTGTTACTAATCATTTCTTTTTGGATAATTTCTCATTCTGGCTACTTAATGTGTACCTGTGTCTCAGGGCTTCATGACTTTACCTCTATATTGATCAGGATTCTCTACAGAAATAGAAGCAATAGAGAATATATACATAATTTTTCATATATATAAAATTGTATACATAGACATAATTTTTTCATATTATATGATATAATTTCATATTATATGTAATATAAATTTTTCATATTGTATGATATAATTTCTTATTATGTATAATATGAAAAAATTATGTGTCTATGTATATAATTGTGTGTGTGTATACATATATATAGAGAGAGACAGAGAGGGAGAGAAGAAGATAGAGAGATTTATTATCGGCTCATGTAATTATGGAGACCAAGAAGTCCCATGATTTTTTCTCTCTGAACTGGAGAACCGTGAAAATCAGTGGTATAATTTAGTCTGAGTCTGAAGGCATGAGAACAAGGGGAGCCAATGGTTCAACTCCCAGTCCGAAGAGGTGTGTCTCTGATAGGGGCACAGTTCAGGTGAAAGTCCTAAAGTCCAAAGGCTGGAGAACCAATCTTAATGTCTGAGGGCAGAGGAAGATAGATATCCTAGATTAAGGAAAGAAATAATTTGCCTTTCATTCTACCTTTTTGTTCTATTTTTATTTAGGCTCAGTGGAATGGAGGTTGACTAACAAGATTAGTGAGAGTGGATCTGCTTTACTTAGTCTGCCAATTTAAATGGCAATCTCTTTTTGAAGCACCCTCACAGACACATCCAGAAACAATGTTTTATCAGCTATCTGAGCAAACTTTCTTGCAGGCAAGATGACACATAAAATTAATCACAACAACCTCCAACTATGACCCATTCTCTAAGCTACAGACAAAAACTTCCAATTATTTTTCAGCATTTCTTTCTGAATTTTTAGTGGGCCTTAAATTTTCAGTGTGTAAAAAGGAATAAAATGCCATAATCGAAGTATACTCCTTTAAAATTCTATTAAGGGAATTAATATGCTGAAATGCTTAAAGACAGATGTCTACATTTCATCATCTATCCACGTAGATCAATTTTACACAGATTTTCTCCACATTATGTCTGTCTGTCTTTATTCTACAACAGCATTATAGCATATTTCTTCTAAAATTGTATTAGTTCATGTCCTTATTATTTTTCAGGTCCATTGCTTGATTATAAACTTCAAGTCTTTTTTTCTTAAATATGTATTTTTTTCCTATGACAAAACAGTAATTATTCTAACACAAAAAATCTGATGTTAGACATTAAGTTAAAATTTTTAATAACCCCCTATTATGCCCATAATATGTTAAGGTCAGAAAATGTCCTTCTTAACTTGCTCCTATCTTTTCTGCACTGTCTTTTATGTGCCACTTATGGGACTTATGGGTAAATATATTAACTTATCACTCCTAAAATTGAACAAATTATTTCACACCCTGTGTTTTTGCACATGTTCTTCAGCCAGATTTAAATTTATGTCCTTGCTTCCTTCTGAATAGCTTATACGTCTATTTCACAAATCAGCTCAAACAGGTTTTCTGTGGAGACTTTTTCTTTCTTCTAAATTGTTATAGGTTTTAGTTATCACATAACTTTTTGGAATAATTATATTATAATAATTACCTTCTAAATATTTCCACATCTAACTCTAATAAATATAATTTCTCTCACATATTTATTAAGCAGACATATAAATTTTTTAAATTTTAAGTTAAAAATGATATTATAACTCTTTCATATTATATTAATGTATTTTAAAAATATTTCATCAATATGGTAAATATAACAAATGGAATCTGAATACCATAAGAGTCAGAAACCCACCAATATTCATTTAGAAATGCATGACTAAGTGGATTTGTCCAATCAAATAGCTTATCTTCTTTTTATGAACTTACATTTCCATTCAACTTCTTTATAATTTAAATAAATCAAATATCTTTATAAGTGAAGATTATTAATAATTTCATTACAGTTTTACTACAACAAAAATATCTCCTGAAATTAAAAGTATAAAGCAAATTTTCTCTCTGTAGTTATAATGGTATTTTTGAATATTTAGTTTTTATTGTAATTTAAAAATGATCAAAATATATTTTACTCTTTAAATTTAAAAATTAAAAATAATTGAATTATTGTGGATATGTTTTATAGTGAGATACAAATGAACTACATTTTTTAAAATAGTTTGTATATCCATAGAAGAATACTACCTATTAGCATATCATTTGTAATAATATTCCATTTTTAATTACTGTTTGTATACACACAGATACATTTGGTTTACAAATATAAGAAGGTTGAAATGGAGGAAATTCTGTTACAGAAATGGTATTCAATTACTTTACATCATGTTGTGATCTATGATTAAACTCAATTTTTAAAGTTCTATTAGATGACAACTTGAGTGAGCCATACTCCACTTATGGTAAAAGCAAAGAGGCAGAGCAAACAACTTGTTACATAATTTGAAACAAACAAACAAAACAAACAGAACTTCTGAAAATAAAAAATACACATCAAAAAATTACAAGACACATTTGAAGTCATTAACAATAGGTGAGACAAGCAGAAGAAAGAATTTCAAAGCTGGAAAACAGGTCTTTTGATTAATCCAGTCAAAAACAGTAAAAAATAAATAAATTTTTTAAAAACAAAGCCTTTGAGAAACATTGAATTCTATAAAATATCCAAAACTCTGAGGTATAGGTATTCCAGAGGGAGAACAAGAAAAAGTAAAAACTATGGAAAACATATTTGAGGAAATTAGGATAACTTCCCTGGTCTTGGTAGAGATTTAGACATCCAGATATAAGAAGCTCAGATAACTCCTAGAAAATACATTGAAAGATAAACTTCACCAGCACATATAATCATCAGACAATTCAGAGTCAATATGAAGGAAAAATCATAAAATCAGCAAGAAAGAAGCACCTAATAATCACCTATAAAGGAAATCCTATCACACTAGCAGCAGACGTCTCAGCAGAAATCTTATAAGCCAGAAGAGATTGAGGTCCTATTTTCTGTCTTCTTAAGAAAAAAAAGCCAGCCAAGTTTTTGTACCCTGCTAAACTAAGTTTCATAAGTAAAGAAGAAATAAATAATTTCCCAAAGAAGCACACACTAAGGAAATTCCTAACCACTAGACTGGTCCTATAAGAAATGCCCAACAGAGTTTTAAACATGGAAACAAAAAGGTAGTACTCACCATAATTTAAAAAAACCATGAAAATACAAAACTAGCAGTAATCATAAGGTAGTTACACAAACAAGACTATAAAAGATCTAGGTAATAATTAACATTACGACAGGAACAAAATCTCACCTAGCAATATTAACCTTGAATGCAAATGAACTAAATGCCCTACATAAGAGATGTAGGTTGGTAGGATGGGTGATAAAACAAGATCAACACAAAGCAGCCTGCAAGAAACCCAGCTAAATGATCAAAAGATTTGTGAGCTCAAAATGAAGAGGTGGAAAAATATATTCCACATATAGACACAAAAGCAAACAGAAGTAGCTGTATTTATATCATATAGAACAGCCTTTAAATCAACAACAGTAAGAGGAAAACAAAGAAAGTCATTGTATAATGATAAAGAAATCAATTTAACAATAAGATATAACAACACTTGGATGTATAAATACATCCAACAATGGAGCACCCAATCTTTAAAGAAAGGAAATTTCAATCAAGAATTTCATATTCCTTCAGACTAAGCTTCATAAACAGAGGAGAAATAAAGTCCTTTACAGACAAGCAAACACTAAGGGAATTTGTTACCACTACATCTGCCTTATAAGAGACCCTAAAGGGAATGCTAAACATGGAAACAAAAGAACAATGCCTGCCACCCACAAAAACACACTTAAGTAAATAGCCCGTTGACACTCTAAAGCAACTATACAATCAAGTCTACATAACAATGAGTTAACATGATGACAGGATCCAAATAACACATATCAATACTGACCTTGAATGTAAATGGGCTAAACACCCACTTAAGAGGCATAGAGTGGCAAGTTGGATAAAGAAGCAAGACTCAATTGTCTTCTGTGTTTAAGAGACCATCCCACAGGTAATGACATCCATAGGCTCAAGGTAAGAGGATGGGAAAAAGCTATCAGACAAATAGCAAGACAAAAAGAGTAGAGATTACTGTTTTTATATCAGATAAAACAGACTGCAAACTAATAATGACCAAAATGGACAAAGAAGGACATTACATAATGATAAAGGGTTTGATTCAATTAAAAGACCTAACTATCTTAAATATATTTATGCCCAAAACTAAAGCACCCAGATTAATAAAACAAGTTATTACAAACCTAAAAAGAGATTCCAATAACCCCACAATAACAGTGGAAATCCTTGTCACCCCACTGACAACATTTGATAGATCACTGAGGCAGAACACAAACAAAGATATTCTAGACTTAAACTCAACAGTTGATGAATTGGACCTAATAGACATCTACAGAATACTCCTCCCAACGAAAACAGAATATACATTCTTCTCACCTGCAAGTAGCAAATACTGTAATGTTGGAGCTGGTGCCTGGTGGAAGGTGTTTGGATCACGTGAGCGGATGCCTCTTTTATGGCTTGGACCATCCTCTTGGTTGTAAATCAGCTCTGCTCTCAGTTCACGTGAGACCTCATTCTTTAATTGTGTGGCATCACCTCCCCACTCTCTCGCTCTCACTCCTGCTTTTGCCATGTGAGTACCTGCTCCCCCTTCACCTTCTGCCATAATTTAAACTTCCTGAGGCTTCCCTAGAAGCCTAGTAGATGCCAGCACCATACTTTCTGTAAAGTCTACAGAATTGTCGCTGGTGTTTCTTTTATTTTTTCCTATTGTTATATACATTTTTATTTTTATTTTTAATTATTATACTTTAAGTTCTAGGGTACATGTGCACAATGTGCAGGTTTGTTACATATGTATACATGTGCCACGTTGGTATGCTGCACCCATTAATTCATCATTTACATTAGGTATATCTCCTAATGCTATCCCCCCTCCCTCCCCCCACCCCACAACAGGCCCTGGTGTGTGATGTCCCCCTTCCTGTATCCAAGTGTTCTCATTGTTCAATTCCCACCTATGAGTGAGAGCATGCAATGTTTGGTTTTTTGTCCTTGCTATAGTTTGCTGAGAATGATGGTTTCCAGCTTCATCCATGTCCCTGCAAAGGACATGAACTCATCATTTTTTTTGTTGCTGCATAGTATTCCATGGTGTATATGTGCAAAAATCACAAGCATTCTTATACACCAATAACAGACAAACAGAGAGACAAATCATGAGTGAACTCCCATTCACAATTTCTTCAAACAGAATAAAATACCTAGGAATCCAACTTACAAGGGATGTGAAAGACCTCTTCAAGGAGAACTACAAACCACTACTCAACGAAATAAAAGAGGATACAAACAAATGGAAGGACATTCCATGCTCATGGATAGGAAGAATCAATATCGTGAAAATGGCCATACTGCCCAAGGTAATTTATAGATTCAATGCCATCCCCATCAAGCTACCAATGACTTTCTTCACAGAATTGGAAAAAACTACTTTAAAGTTCATATAGAACCAAAAAAGAGCCTGCATTGCCGAGTCAATCCTAAGCCAAAAGAACAAAGCCAGAGGCATCACGCTACTTGACTTCAAACTATACTACAAGGCTACAGTAACCAAAACAGCATGGTACTGATACCAAAACAGAGATATAGACCAATGGAACAGAACAGAGCCCTCAGAAATAATACTACACATCTACAAGTATCTGATCTTTGACAAACCTGAGAAAAACAAGAAATAGGGAAAGGATTCCCTTTTTAACAAATGGTGCTAGGAAAACTGGCTAGCCATATGCAGAAAGCTGAAACTGGATCCCTTCCTTACACCTTATACAAAAATTAATTCAAGACGGATGTAAAGACTTAAATGTTAGACCTAAAACCATAAAAACCCTAGAAGAAAACCTAGGCAATACCATTGAGGACATAGGCATGGGCAAGGACTTCATGTCTAAAACACCAAAAGCAATGGCAACAAAAGCCAAAATTGACAAATGGAATCTAATTAAACTAAAGAGCTTCTGTATAGCAAAAGAAACTACCATCAGAGTGAACAGGCAACCTACAGAATGGGAGAAAATTTTTGCAATCTACTCATCTGACAAAGGGCTAATATCCAGAATCTACAAAGAACCCAAATAAATTTAGAAGAAGAAAACAAACAACCCCATCAACAAGTGGGTGAAGGATATGAACAGACACTTCTCAAAAGAAGACATTTATGCAGCCAACAGACACATGAAAAAATGCTCATCATCACTGGCCGTCAGGGAAATGCAAATCAAAACCATAATGAGATACCGTCTCACACCAGTTAGAATGGCGATCATTAAAAACTCAGGAAGCAACAGGTGCTGGAGAGGATGTGGAGAAATAGGAACACTCTTACACTCTTGGTGGGACTGTAAACTGGTTCAACCATTTTAGTGTTTCTTCATTGCAATGCAAGAATGGCCTAATGCAGCCATAAAGCAAATCTTAAAACATTCAAACAAAACTAAACTAAATCCTCCCAACCATCATCTCAGACCACAGCTCAATAAAAAGAGAAATCAATTTCAAGAAGACCTCTCAAAATCATATAATTGCAAGGAAGTTAAACAATCTGCTCCTGAATGACTGTATTGTATAGAATTAAATTAAGACAAAAATCAAAAATATATTTGAAACTAATGAAAACAGAGAAACAACATATATGAATCTCTGGGGCACAGCTAAAGTGGTGTTAAACAGGGAAAGTTTACAGCTTTAAATGCCTACATGTAGAAATTGAAAGGTCTCAAATTAACAGTCTAACATCACGTCTACAGAAACTAAAAAAAGACGAGCAAAGAAACCCCACAGCTACCAGAGAAAAAATTAATAAAAATTGGAGCTGAACTCAATGAAATTCAGATACAAAAATCCAGGAAAAAGATCAACAAAATCAAAAGTGTTCTTAAAAAGAACAAGATTGAAAGACTACTAGCCAGATGAATGAATAAAAAAGAGAGAGAAGATCAAAATAAGCACAATCAGAAATGACAAAGGTGACCTTTCAACTGACTCAACAGAAACACAAAAAATTCTTTAAGATGAGTATAAACATCATCTCTATGCACACAAACTGGAAAACCTAGAAGAAATGGATAAATTATTGGATAGATAAATTATGGATACATACACAACCTCCCAAGATTGAACCAGGAAGAAGTAGAAACCATGAACAGACTAGTAATGAGTAATAAAATTGATTAAGTAATGATGACTCTCCAAACATAAAATACAGGCCAGGAATAAATTCAAAGCTGAGTTCTATGAGAGATACAAAGAAGATATGGTTTCAATCCTAGTGGACCTGATCAAAAAAATCAAAGAGAAGCAAATCCTCCATAACTCATTGTATAAATCCAGCATCACCCTGATACAAAAGGCTGGCAGGAATACAGAAAAGAAATAAAACCACAGGCCACTAACTCTGATTAACATATGTATTAGGCCATTCTTACATTGTTATAAAGAAATATCTGATACTGGGTAATTTATAAGGAAAGATGTAATTTGCTCACTGTTCTGCAAGCTTTACAAGAAGCATGATCCTGGCATCTGTTCAGCTTCTGGGTAGGCCTCAGAAAACATACAGTCATGGCAGGGGGTAAAGGGGGAGCAGGCACATCACATGATCAGATCAGGAGCAAGAGAGCTAGTCAGGGAGGTGCCACACACTTTTAAACAACCAGATCTCATGAGAACTCACTCATTTTCATGAGGACAGTACCAAGGGGGTGGTAATAAACCATTCATGAGAAATACACCCCATGATCTAATCACCTTCCAGAGGCTCCACCTCCAACATTAGGGATTACCTTTTGACATAGGATTTGGTTGGGGACAGCATCCAAACTACATAAACATAGATGCAAAAATCCTCAAAAAACACTAGTAAACTGAACCTAACAGCATATCAAAAAGATAATATACCATAATCAAGTAGTTTTTATTCCAGGAATGCAAGGCTGGTTCAACACTTGTAAATCAATAAATGTGATTCACTGTATAAACAAAATTAGAAACAAAAAACATACAATTGTCTCAATAGATACAGAAAAATGAGCCAATAAAGTTCAGCATCACTTCATTTAAAAAATCCTCAAGATAGTAGGAACAGAAGGCACGTATCTCAAAATAATAAAAGCCAAATATGACATACTCACAGTCAACGTCATGCTGAATAGGGAAAAGTTGAGAGTATTTTCCCTAAAAACTGGAATAAGATAAGGATTCCATTTTCACCACTTCTGTTCAACATAGTACTGCAAGTCCTAGCTAGAGTAATCAGGCAAAAGAAAGAAATAAAAGGTATTCAAATATAAAAAGAGCAAGTCAAATTATCTCTGTCTGCTGATGACATAATCTTATACCTAGAAAACCCTAAATAATCCTCCAAAAGACTCCTAAAGTTGATAAATGACCTCAGTAAATCTTCAGGAATGAAAAATTAATGTACTAAAATCAGTCGCATTTCTACATACCAGCAACACTCAAGATGAGAATCAAATCAAGAACTCAAGCCCATTGACAATAGATATTTTTAAAAAAAAACTAATGAAAGAAATTTTAGAAAACAAAAGCAAATGGAAAAACATCCCATGTTCACAGATAGAAATAATAAATATCATTAACATAACCATACTGCCCAAAGCAATCTATAAATACAATTACTATCAAATTACCAATATTATTTTTCACAGAATTGAAAAAAGTGATAGTAAAACATATATAGAATAAAAAGAGACCAAATAGCCAAAGCAATCCTAAGAAAACGAATTAACACTGGAGGTATCACATTACCTGATTTTGAATTATACTACAAGTCTATAGTAACCAAAGCAGCATGGTAGTGATATAAAAATAGACACACTGATCAATCAAACAGAATAAATAACCCAGAAATAAAGCCACATACCTACAACTAACTGATCTTTGACAAAGCTGACAAAAATATACACTGGAGGAAGGACAACTTATTTAATAAATGGTGCTGGAAAAATTGGAGAGACGTACACAGAAGAATATAGGTAGACCACTAAAAATTAACTCATGATTAACTATAGATTTAAAGGTAAGAAATGAAACTATAAAAATCATAGAAGGAAACCTGAGAATGCCCATTTACCTAAGCAAACAATTTACAGCTAGGTTTATAAAAGGAAACACAACAAAAACAAAAATAGACCAATGGACTATTGAGTATCTTCTGCACAGGAAAAGAAATAATCCACAGAATAAACAAACAACCAACAGAATGAGAGAAACTATTTGCAAACCATTCATCTGACAAAGGACTAATATCTTGTATCTACGAGGAACTGAACTCAATAAATAAAAAACAGCCCCATTGAAAAGTGGGTAAAGGACATGAACGGACATTTTTCAAAAGAGGACATACAGTCTGGTTGCAGTGACTCATGCCTGTAATCCCAGCACTTTGGGAGGCAGCAGCAGGCAGATCACCTGAGGCCAGGAGTTCGAGACCAGCCTGGCCAACATGATGAAACCCTGTCTCTACTAAATATACCAAAAATTAGCCAGGCGTGGTTGCAGTCACCTGTAATCCCAGCTTCTCCAGAGGCTGAGGCAGGGGAATCACTTGAACCCGGGAGGCAGGGCTGCAGTGAGCCGAGATCGTACCATGGAACTCCAGCCTGGGCAACAAGAGTAAAACTACGTCTCCAAAAAAAAAAAAAAAAAAAAAAAAGGGACATACAAATGTCCAACAAACATGAAAAATCTTTCACTACAACGAATTGTCACATAAATGCAAATTTAAACCACAGTGATACACCATTTTATCCCATTCAGAAAGGCTATTGTTAAGTCAAAAGCAAAAGATGTTGGCCAGAAAGTGGAGAAAAGGGAATGCATGTATACTGTTGGTTTGAATGTATATTGCTACGAGCTCTATGAAAAACTTTACGGAGATTTCTCAAAAAACTCTAGGATCTGAAGAGAAGCCTGAGTATTCCTCTCAAAGAACTATAAATAGCACTATCATTCAATTCATCAATCCCACTACTGGGTATCTAACCAGAGGAAAAGAAATGATTATATCAAAAAGACACCTGCAGTTCTATGTATATTACAGTGTTATACACAATAGCAAAGTCATGAAATAAACTTAAGTGTCCATCAACGGATGATTGTATTAAAAATGTGATATATATTTTTACGTAATATACCTTTTTAATATAATATATATAAGGCGATACTTTCTAGCTATAAAAAAGAATGAAATCATGTATTTCACAGCAACATAGGTGGAACTGGAGCCCATTATTTTAAGTGAAATACTGCATGTTATCACTTATCTGTGGGTGCTAAACAATGGATACACATGGATATGCAGAGTTTACTGGAAACTCCAAAATGTGGAAGTGAGGGAAAGTTGGGCGGGGTGTGAAGGATGAAACAGGTTCAGGAAATAAAAATGCTGTTAGCTTAAATATATCTTTGTCAATGCAATTTCTTTTGAAAAAAATTTTTACCTTAGTAAGGACTCTGTGTCTAATTTAGGCAAGATGGATGTTGAGATTTAACGTATTAACCTTAGGATTAAAATTTTCTGCCAAATGAATCTAATTTGCACAGTTATCACTCTTAAACCAAACAGTAGAACAGACTTACTTTTAGTTATAAAAATCTGATTTTATCTCTTTTTCTTTTCCTTTCTTTAAGAGATGGGGTCTCACTCTCTTGCCCAGATTAGAGTGCAGTGGCTCAATCATAGCTGACTGAACCCTAAAATCCTGGGCTTATAGGATCATCTCACTTCAGCCTGCCGAGTAACTGAGATTAAAGGCACAAGTCATCACATCTTACTGATTTTACTTTCAAATCAAATAAAAATGTTAATTTATTTTTAAAAGGATATCGTAAAACTACTGAAAACTAAATTATAGAACACATGTTCTGATAGATTACTGAAATCCAGTTAATTCAAAATTAAACTGATGTAGATATCATAATCTAGTTTAAATAAAGTAATAAAAATAAGTTAATATGTCAATATGCAATCACTCAGTGAATTTGTATTAATGTACCCAAATTTTAAGTTTTTAAGATAAAATGTATATGCTAAAATGTAGAACTTCTTAAGCATATATATATCTATCTATCTACACGTGTGTGTTGAATTCTTGTTTAGCTTTTGTTAATACTTAAATATAAATCAAAAGTAAAAATTATTGAAAATGGTGTTATTTAATTAGTTTTAATGTTTAAGTCTTTTTCTACCCACTTAATGAAGTAAAAGGTGTATATATAATCAATAATTTATTGGTGATATGGCTTTTTTTTTCAAGTAGGAAAAGGGAAATATTTAATAAGATGAAATAAAAAGAAAATTGTCTCTGATATATTTCATTATATAATTTTGCAAAATAAATTCAACTATATAAGTAGAATACATCAATTATGAAAGAAAATAATAGACACAATTATCTATGAGTTGTCTCCAGTAAATTTTGCCAAAGCTGGTAGCCAAAAAATCAATTTTGTAGTCACATTTCAAAGTGTTGGTGCCTTACTTCATTCTGCTTTGGCTGTTTCAACCAGTCATTATTTTCAGAAAATGACTCTTCAGAATAAATTATGAGAATAATTAAAAATTATTACTTATGTTCAAATACATTGAAATCACCTTTTAGCATTTAGTATTTATTACTTATCATCTCATTGCTTTGCTCTTTTGAGAATTCATCTCAAGAAAAATGTGTTCTTGGGCATATGTTAGTATATAAAGGAGTCCAAGTCCTTAAACAAAATAAGAAATTGCATTATTACCACTTTCTCTACCATACTTCTCAAGCATGAATATTTCTTACAGACCAAAATACCAAGTTCCTAACATCAGATTTCAGTCCTAACTTCGAGTTTACAAAGAAAATGGCAGGTGTACTGGGTTTTATGATTCTTTAATCATTACAAGTAGCTTATTGTTTTGAGGAATTGAGAATATTTATTTATTTTCTTCTTCTGAAAATGTATTATGCATAATATACATAGAGAAAAGTTGCTCCAGTGTATAGCTCTATGAATTTTTTGAAAGGCATTTAAATGCTATGTGATATCCTGATGCTGAAACAGAACAAAGTCATTACTGGAATAACAGGTGAAATCCAAAAACAGTTTGAGGTTAAGTTATTAAGATACCATTTTTGGTTTCTTGATTTTTGACAGACTGTGAACATTTTAGATGTTCAAATTAGGGGCAACTGCATGAAGTGTGTATAGGAACTTTCCGTACTACCTTTGCAAACGCTTTGGAAATCTAAAATTATTCCAAGATAGAAAGGGTTTCGAGAAGAAATAACTTGTGTAACCAGCACTTAGATAAAAAACAAACAAAATAAAACAGAACATTACAGCATCATGAAAAAGCCTTTGTACCTCATTCCAGTCACTATCCTCTGGAGGATAACCACTTACCTAAAATCCCACAGCACAGATTGATTAAACTTTTTAAAAAAAGTTACATAAGTGGAATCAAATTGTATACACTTTCTTATGTTTGGTTTGTTTCACTGCATGTCATGGAAGTTAGACACAACCTTATTATTTCATGTTGCAAAATTTATTTATTCTTATTACCAGAGTGACTATATATTTTAAGGTAGCATAAATGTATTTATTCATTGTAGTACTGACAGACATTTAGGGTTGTTTTCACATTGTTGCTACTAAGAATAGCATACTATGCATGCTATGACTGATCTTGAGCATATATTTCTATATATGTATTTCTATAGTGTATAAAAATAGGAGTAAAATTGCTGGTAAATTGCATAATTTACCTATATTTAGCATTAGTAGGACTGCTATTTTGAATATTCCACATATGAACATGTGGATTTTGAAATTGATTCTGTGTGCTTCAGGCATTTGTATCTTAATGTGAAAATCTGTATATTAGAAAATTGTAGATAATTTCTCATGTGTCATTAACTTCCACTAAATTGAATTTTTTAAATTTAATTAATTAGTAAATTAATTAATTTTATAGACCAGGTCTCACTCTGTCGTCACCCAGGCTGGAGTGTAGTGGTGCAATCACGGTTCACTGCAGCCTCAACCTCCTGGGCTCAAGCAATCCTCCTGCCTCAGTTTCTCAAGTAACTGTGACTACAGGTGGAAAACACCATACCTGGCTAAATTTTTTAAATTGTTTTGTAGAGATAGATTCTATCTATGTTGCCCAGGCTTGTTTCAAACTCCTGGGCTCAAGCGATTCTCCCTCTTCAGCCTTCCAAAGTGCTGGGAATACAGGTGTGAGCCACCACGCCTGGCCTGAATTTCTTATTGGATGAAACTATACTATTGTATACCCTAAATTTTAGTATCAAATATGTGTTACATAGTCAATAAACTATAGATCAATTTGGTAGTAAGGTGGCCATCATTATGCAAAAGTTGACATTTGTATAGTTTCAAGTTTAAGTAGCACAGGTATTTGCTTGAGTGTCATTTTGTGTGGTAACATGCTGTATTTGTGAACTGAACATTATACTGGATTTAAATATGTAAGTTCAGAGGAAAAAGAGAGGTTGCCCTTAGCTGACTTACCCATTCAACATTTTTTTCTGTGTTGTGCGTCTATTGTAAGATGACAATATGACTCAAGTCAGATTATCAGATCATTTTGGTATTTTTAAGATCAAGGTGACTTTTATAATATTAGACACAGATTACTGTTACTTTTCTAACTTTACAATAAAAGTATCTCTACTAAGTGCTCTCAATTCTGGCAGAGTGCTAAAGTATCTCTACTAAGTGTTCTCAATTCTGGCAGAGTGCTAAAGTATCTCTACTAAGTGTTCTCAATTCTGGCAGAGTGCTAATGAGTATTAATATGTCACAGAGTGATATATACAGATGATTCTGCCTTAAATATTATTCCTTAGATAATGATTTTATTGAAAGCAATGACAACTGACAATCAGTAAGATGATTATTAAGCAGTTTTTGTTCAAAGAAATCCTATAAATAGAGAGAAGAGAAAGATAGTAATAGAGATAGAATAATAGCAAATGAGAGACCAAGAGTGAGAGGGGAAGAAGGAGAAGTAGGAGAAAGGAGGAAGAGGAGGGGCAGGAAGAGGAGAGTGAAAGGAATAAAAAGAAGAGAAATATCTATTCATATAACTATCCAAATACACATATATGTATATATATGTATATATTATATATGAGTATATACATGTATATGTGTGTGTGTATATGTATGCATATATATACATACATATACGTGTGTGTATATATGTGTATCTATATGTATGTATATATGTATATATATACACACACATATACAAAGAGGGACAAAAGGAATAATTTGGGCTAAATATTACAGTTCCCATCATTCATCATTCTATACTTTTCAAATAACAATAGAAAAGCCGCCAAGCCAACTGACAGTAGGACATGCTTAAAATGATGTAAATTCATTCTGTTTATCTTTCCTGTGAATACTTTCACTCTGAATCCAGTTCCTGTAGTTCCCTTTATGGGGTTTTATAACTAGCATTGCCAAGCTGCTTATATTTCTTTGTAATAATTTGCCATATATGGCCAACAACATGAACAGACAATTTTGCAAAGAAGACATACATATGGACAATAATCATATGAAAAAAAAACTCAGTATCACTGATCACTAGGGAAATGCATATGAAAACCATAATCAGTTACCATTTAACATTGATCAGAATAGCTATTAAAGTCCAAAAATAGTAGATGCTGGCAAGATTGTGGAGAAAAAGGAATGTTTATTCACTGTTGGTGGGAGCATAAATTAGTTCAATCATTGCAGAAGACAGTGTGATGATTCCTCAAAGACCTATAAACAGAAATACCATTCGACCCACCAATCCCATTACTGGATATACACCCAAAGGAATACACATCATTCTATTATAAAGACATACGTACATGTACACTTACTGCAACACTAGTCACAATAGGAAAGACATGGAATCAACCCAAATGCACATCAATAGTAGACTGGGTAAGAAAAATGTGGTACATATACACCTTGGAATACTATACAGCTATAAAGGAATGAGGTCATGTCTTTTGCAGGAACATGAATGGGGCTGGAGGCCATTATCCTTAGCAAACACACATAGGAACAGAAAACCAAATACTGAATATTCTCACTTTTAAGTGGGAGCTAAATAATGAGAACACATGGACATATAGAGAAAAACAACCCACAATGGGCCTATCAGAGGGTGGAGGATGGGAGGAGGGAGAAGATCAGGAAAAATAACTGATTGGTACTAGGCTTAACACCTGAGTGATGAAATAATCTGTACAACAAATCCCCATGACACAAGTTTACCCATATAACAAACCTGCACTTGCAACCCTGAACTTAAATAAAAGTTAAAAAACCCAAAGGAACAGATATGGCCAACACTTTCACTTTGTTATTCTCAAAACTCAGCAAAGAAAAAAAATGAAAGGAGAGAAATGTTAAAGCTAAATGTTATTGCTCTCAAAAAACTTTGTCTTTAATCACCTTCCTCAATCAGCTGCACATACACACAAACACAGACACACACAACATATAGCCACACACAGAGCAGATACTCACAGGTGTTTTGCTCATCTCCATTCCACTAGCGATGCCTCTTACCGCCCTCTAATTTGTTACTTGCTTCAATTCCTTGATATTTATATCTGTTTCTTTTTAACAATGCTTATTCCAAGATAGTGGGGGAATTTTTTCTGCCTCATAAAAATTAATTTATTTTAAGAACCATGTGCATGAACATGGGGACATGCGTGTCTTCAAGGGAAGTCTTTGGCTTCTGTCTGTAGAATATAGTCTGTTATTGTTCCTTGGGAAATTGAATCATATTATTTGAACATCTTACCATTTTTCCCTTTTATATTAAACAGCCTCCAATATTCTGGTTAGAGTAAAACTTTAGAAATTTTAGAAATTTTCTCTTTATGACTCCTTTGCTAGTTTATAATTGACATCTTTTTTAAATGACAATTTATGCAGATGATTATAATAAAAGTAGTAAGAGTAACAATAATGGTTTTAGTTATAGTAGTAGTACTCCCTATGTAAAGTGAGCTTTCCTGACCTCATCAGTCCAATATTATTATTTGTATTATCTTATGGACCCCTATCATAATAAAAATAAATGAGAATTAAGCTGTCATCCATATATGACTTATCAAGGGATAAATATTTTATGTAGATTTAGAAAAGGGTTCATTGAAAATGTTAAATAGTCATGAGTATTTATTCAATGACAGTTTAAAAATGAGTTCCCCCTGGAATACTTAAATAAAGTAGTCTTTATTTTACATGTACTTCCCAAAAATGTAGAATTTTTTAGAATGTTGGATCAAACAGATTAAACATATATATATATATATATATATATATTGCACCTTAAATCATATTCAGGGACCAGATCCCAACTCTGCTCAGAAGGAATTCTTAGACTCATAAATTAGGTCATGGAAGATTGTACAAACAAGAATTAATTTTGACATAATTTGAAAAGCACAGGATATAGTTTCAAATCCAATAATCAAAACATAATTATATATAGAAATCCTGGTAAGTTCTATAATTTCAACCAGGTCATAAAATCATGGCACAACTTTTGCAAGAAAAACTTTCCTAACACTCTGCTTGATATGGAAAAAAAAAAAAAAAACCACCCACACACATTTTAAAAGATTTTTTTAACATAGATTTCTTGTTAAAGATATTCAGTAAATGGACCTGCCTAAGAAAATGAACAAAATTAGAATATTAAAAAATGTTTTCTACATTAGATATATATTTCTGTAAAATTATTTTGGAGAAAATAACAGAGAGCAAGCAAGAAAGCAAACAAAAAGTACCTATAGAGAGATCACTTGAGGTCAGGAGTTCAAGACCAAGCTGGCCAACATGGTGAAAACCAGTCTCCACTAAAAATACAAAAATTAGCCAGGAGTGGTGGTGCATGCTTGTAATCCCAGCTACTCGAGAGGCTGAGGTGGGAGAATTGCTTGAACCTGGGAGGCGGAGGTTGCAGTGAGCCGAGATCACTCCCCTGACCTCTAGCTTGAGCAAGAGAGCAAGACTCCACCTAAAAAATAACAAGAAAAAAGAAAAAGAAAAAGACAACGTAGACAGTATTGAATGATCTTTATCATGTTTCTTGAGTTACTGTCATAATTACAATGTTGCATTGTCAAAACGTCTTGCAGTTTCATCGTTTACAAAATATTCACATTTAAATGTGGAAAGAATTGTCATATCACTTGGTGCCTCACTTTAAATTACAATAAGCAAATTGAAGTGAGAACAAAAAGGACAATGAATATGTAGTTTGTTACTCAAGAACCCCAAGCAATATAAAAGTAACAGTGACAAATGTGTAGTTTTGTTTTATTTATATCAGTCAGACATTAATTATATCATACATACTACACGGCAGTTACACTGAATTTATTGATCAATCTTTTAACAACATTGATATATATAGAAAATACTTTGTTCAGATGTGACCAGCTTGCAGAAGAAAAATGCACGTGTACAAGCAGTTTAAAATATATGCATATACACATTAAAAAATGAATGGCAAAGTAACATCTAAAATGCAATATAGAGAACAGAAATGAAGGAGAGAGCAAAAGGGCTTCAATTGTATGTAATACATTGTTATTATTTTTAAAATATGTCTAAGGACAATACAGTATAATATTAAGGAATGATCTAATCTCACCTAAGTGATCAACATAAAATTTTATAATTCCATTGTTTTAAATATTAAATAGTTAATCTTAAAATTAATAGAACAAGTCAAAATATGTTTGAATTAAAAGGAGTAAGTAAAATAAATAAAAGAGATAATTTTAAAGTTAATCATCAAAATGCACCTAACAAAATTCTAAATACCTGGTAAAGAAGGCTTATCAATAAGATTTTTAAACACTTAAGCTTTCAATTCAGAAATAAGCAAGATTCAATGATCTGGTAAGATTTTATAAGAAACAGATTTTAGAATTAGCAAAGCAGGACTGGGTCATAAAACCAGGTTAACTTCAATTTTTCAAAATGAAATAATTATAAAAATTTTACTTATCAGATGTATATGTAAATATTAATCGTAACCAATATTTCAATGATTTTAAGAAATAAAATATTTTTCAGATTTCTGACATAATGTTAATTACATTCTATTACTTGTTTCCTTACTCATTTTTATGTTATATAGAATTTCAAACCCTAAAGAAGCACGATTTTAAATTTTCTAGAAAAGCTCAATTTAACTTCTTGATGCTGTATTTATTAGTCCTACCCAATGGACCATAGTATTTGAAGACACAACAGAAAATACAAATTGGCCAAAAAGAAACAAAAAACTTACAAGTAAATTTCTACCTGAAACCTCTGTTAACTTTTGTAACCATATTTTTCCCATGGAGTATATGATGAAATATTTCCTATTACAAATATGTTTCCAGATGTAATACACATAACCATCCTATAGCCAGGTTTTTATAATATATAAGAAATGTTTTTGAAATGTAAATATTTGTATGTATTCATCGCTTTTAATTTTAAAACCTATAGCACTCCATTATTATTTAATCCTCTTTATATTGCATATTTGCTTCGTCAACTTTTTACTATTTTAAATAGTATTCTATTATTCAGATAAAAATGGAAACTAATCACACTCTTATATTAAACTCTAGAATAATGAGTGTATTGTGGCATATGCGTACTTTAAATAACTTGACACATTTGGACAATTGTTCTATAGAAAATTGTAGTAATTTACATTTTTTTGCATATTATAATTTTGTCTCTCTTTAAAATAGAAATTCTAGTTTTAAGCAATTCTTATTCTATGTTGTTAGAAGTCTTTCCCCACATATCCACCGTATTCAAACCCTTGGCTTCCCGAGATCAACATTAAATGTTTTCTATACTTCCAAAATGTCTCCAGACTGACATAGTAATTGTTAAAAATCCAACAAAAAGATCCTAATTCACTTTCTGAGACTCAAATAAATTATTATCAATTCCTTCAGAAAAAAATCCTACTTGTGTATTTTTCAGTTTGCATAGAATATAAAGATTAATTTGGAGAGAATTGACAGCTTCAAAATCTATCCAAGAACTTAGTAAATCTATCCATTCATTTACATCTTTACTTATTTTCAGTAATATTTTGCAGTTTTAAGCATACAAAACTTACAAATATTTGAATAAACTGATACTCAGGCATTTTATTTTATGATGATAATGATAATGGTATTTTCTTATTTCAATTTTCAGTTGTCTCCTTATTATTTATAAATATAATTGCTTATTTATCACATTGTTCCTGTCTCCAGTAGCCTCACTTAACTGCTCTCAAGCTTGTAAAAGATTTCTTTTTGGTTTCATTGAACATTTTAGCGACTTTTTTAACACACAAACAAGCCATCACAAATTGACAAAATTTTATTCGACCCATTCATTATCTTTATTATTCTTTATTTCTTTCCCTTGCCTATTGCACTAGCTAGGACCGTGAGCACAATGTTAACCAAAAATGATGAGAACAGATAGATATCTTTTTTGTTTCCCTTCTGAGGAGGAAAACATTTAGTCTATAACTATTAAGTATAATGTTAGCTATTTATTTTTATTATAGAATTTAAGATCGAGAAAGTTTTCTTCTCTTCCTGGCTTTCTGAGAGTTTAAATTATAAATGGTACTGAGTGTTGGAAAATGTATTTTTTTCCTTGCATGGATTGAGTGGATAATTATATATTTTACTTTTATTTCAAATTATAGTAATATTCAAAATTATATCAATTGATGTTTAAATGTTAACAACACATAGATGTTATTAGAAAATCATATTTGATCATATTTTTCTTTAGTGGTAATGTTTTGTTCAGTATTTTTAGTCCATAGTCCCAAAGCATTATAGCTGACATCCTAAAGCTTAAGTTTCTTTCTTCTTACTTTTTCAGTGTTGCTATCAAAGTAATTTTAGCATCCTCATATGATTAAGAAAGGACTCTCTGATTCTCTATATAATAAAGAAATTTGAATGGGAATAAAGGTATTTTTTTCAAGTCTTCATATCATTCATTAATAAAGTTTTCTGCGTGTTGAGTTTTCTTTATGTCAAGATTTATAATTACAAGTTCATTCAAAATATATACTATTATTGATCTTTTTTATTCTTAAATCATTTTGGTAATATGTGACTTCTGAGAAAGTTATGCATTTTTATCTAGATTGCCAAATGTACTGACATAAAATATTTTAAAATATTTCTGGATTATTATTTCATATTGTAGGGTTTGCACTGATGTCCCCTTGTTTATCCTCAATTTCTACAAACAGTTTCATTTCTTTTTTAATTCTGCTAAGTTTAATTAAAGTCATTAAGAAATTTTTTTGAGAATTTTTGCTTTTTATTTCCTCCTTTGCTCTACTCAATATATGTTAGTTATTTTTCTCTCCAGTGAAAAACTCACATTATTAATTTAAAACTTATCTTCTTTTCTGATAAAACCATTTAAAGCCACAATTTTTGCTATAAGCACTGCTTTAACTGTATCTCATAAATTATGTTATGTTGTATATTCATTTCCTTCTAATTTATTTTGAAGGAACTTTTAATTTACAAGTATACAGTTTTTCTATTATGAATATAATGACTCCATTTTGTTATGCTTAAAATTTTCATGATATGTAGCTTTTATCATTTTTTCTTTAAACTTAAAGTAGGATTTTGGTGAAAAGCATCTAATTTGACTGTCTTTTAGTTATTAGTACATTTAATTTAAATTCATTTGATTATTGATAAATTTGAATTCTAATATGCATTTATGCTTTTTGCTTTCTATATCACCTATCTGTTCTTTGTTATTTTTTCAATCTTTAATGCATTTTTTGGACTAAATAATTTTTTAGCATTTTTATACTCTATCATCAGATTAATATGTAACAAAGTTTGGTTTAATTTTGTCAGTGTTCTTTGTACTTATTGCTCTATGGTTTAAAACATGCATCTTTATCATAATCTACCTTAAAATAATATTATGTAAGTGCAAGTAATGTTAAACTCTTACACCGTTATACTTCCATTTCTACCCTTTTAACTCTGGATTGATTACTGTCATATGATTTACTTCTACATGTATTATGAACTCTATAAATCATTGTAGTTTTTGCTCCAATCTGTCAATTACCTATTAAAAACTGAAAAAAATAAATTAGTTATCTAAAAGTGTATAACAAATTACCACAAACTAAGAGGCTCAAAATAATACATATTTATTGTATCACAGTTTCTGTCCATTGGGGAAAATAGATATAACTTTTGGATTCTCTTCTTTAGGTTTTCACACAAGGCGAAAATCAAGGTAGTAACATCCAGGGGCTGAATTATCCTGAGTGTTTGACTCAGCACCTTAACCACTTGCAAGCTCACGTATTTGCTGGAAAAAATTCAGCTCCTCAAAATTTGTTGGACAGAGGGTCTCAGTATCAAGCTGACTGTTGGCAAGAGAACATCTTCGATTCCTTGTCAGGTGTTGCTACAACATGGCAGCTGACTTCATCCAAACCAAGGAAGGTGCTCATGCAATAGAGTCTGCCAGAATACAGTAAGTCATGATCCCATGTAGCCTAGACACAAAAGTGACTTCCTAGAACTTGTACAATTTCTATTCATCAGAAGTAAGTCACACATTTTGCCCACATTCCAGAGGAGAAAGATTACACAAAGATGTGAATATTAAAAGGTGGAGATCATGAGAAGACGTCTTGAAGACTGCTACTATAATGCATTTTATATTTATTTATATATTTATAATTTCTAAATGTTTTCATTATCTGTGGAGACACAATTTTCTATCATGCAACATTTTCTTTCTATGAGAATAATTTTCTATAACATTTCTAATACCATTGTTCTGCTTACAATTTACATTTCATTATTATTCCGTTCTTTTTTATTTTCTCAAAAAATCCAATTATACTCTCATTTTTAAATTGCATTTTCACTCATATAAAACATTGTTATTTTTATCTTTTTTCTTCTACACTTTTAGCCACCTTTTCCACTTGTCTGTGTATATGTTGTGTTTCAATACTTGAAAACACTTTTAATACTAGCTTTAACATTTTTGTCTTCTAGCTTCATCATCTCTCTCATTCCTGGAACTCTTTGTGCCATACTAAATTTTTTATGGATTATATAGTTCTGCTTTTTGCATGCCCACTAGTTTTTTAATCTCTGTTGTTGTTTGTTGTATTTTTATTATTGGATTTTGGATTGTAAATATTACATAGTTCTGGCTTTCAACTTTGTTTCTTCTGTTTTTACTGCCAGGCTTTTTTTGGTACCAGCCTTTTTTTGGCAGGCAAATAAATTTTTGCCTGCCAAAAACTTTTATACTAGGTTTTATCTCCCTGCAGCTTGCTTCACTTTGTAAAGTGATTTTCAAAGGATGGGCATTTATTTTATTTCATTCTAGGTATAATTCAGCCTGACTACTAAGACACATCACTCTCTATAGTCTCCATTGTGTACCTCAAATGATTAAGTACTTTCTACTCTGATTAGGCAGAGCTCAAATGTCCTCTGCTTTGTGTAATTCCTGAAATTTTAGTTTGCATCTGTCCTGTCATTCTTTGACTACTTTGTGACTTTTAAATTTATATCCAGAGAAGGTAGAACCCAGCAAAGACTCAAATGGGTCCTTATAAATATTCAGAGAGCCTTTATTTGCATAAGAAATAAAATTTTTCCTGCAACTTCTGTTAGCCTCATCTCCCATACATTTCTATCTCCGTCTCTACCTCATCAAGTTTGGCAATTTCTATTTGGATTTCCTTTCCCTGTGCCTGCATTACAGGAGCTTTCTCTAAGTGTTAGTAAGCTGAAGCAATGGGAGGATTAACTTCATTTTCCCCTCTCTCAGAGATCATATTTCTGCACTTTTGTTCATTGTCTAAAAATATTGTTTTATATATGTGCCTATTTTCTAGTTGTGTAGAGAAGAGTATTTTTTCCTCATTGATCAGATATTCAAAAATTATATTTTGACACAGTATTGTGAATATGCTTGTTACCATATCATTGAATTATGTTACGTGAGTGTTGAAAAGTTTTGAGTGCGTATATTTATTTTGTATCTTAGGAAACAACTTGGTGTTCTAAAAGAGTCAGCATTCCTTAGAGAGTAACGCATTCTATGGTTAGAATAGATAAATCTGAGTCATCTCTTTGTAGTTAAAGAGCAAGAATGGTTTTTAAGCTATCCAAAAATAGTGTTTATGATAGAGTCTACCTTGTAGATATTACTACTATTATTTATATAATTTTAATAGCTATAAAAATTATTAGTTTTAACTGGCAAGAGTTGAAATAGCAGTTTCTTATGAAAAGTGATCAAAATAGGGAAAATAATTTATTTATATAAGTAATATGCAATACTTTGTGTTGTTCAAATTAAACACGCTTTCATTATTGGGGATTTTTTAGTAATTGTTTTTATGATAATGGGCATTATTTGGTTTTCTACCTTATATGCAATTAATATTTTTAAAAGACTAAAAAGATGAGGACAATTAACTTGATAGTGAGGGGAGAGAGTGGACTTCAACAATTGCCCTTCAGTGACCTTCGATTCTGTCTTCCAGTGGCACTGTATCTGATAAATTAATCCTAGATTCATGTAGCTTATTGGATTAACTCAGAATGTGTTGGAGTTGTTACACATTTTTTGCATTTTTTGAGACAGCAAGAACCTTCTAGCTAGAGCCTCTAGAACAATAAGAGTAATCTTTAGAAATTTAAGGATGAGTGGGTTTCTTGAAAAACCTGATTGTATCTCAACCTTCATTAGATGATGTGCTTGACAGTTGCCTGTTTTGAATTGAAACATTGTAAATGCTGGTCTCTGATTGAAGCATTATAATATATACCTCGACTCAGTAGTTCTCTATAAACAAAGTACCATTCTTTTTCTATATTATAAGAACTTTTATCATTTACCTGTTATGTTACTGTATTTTCTTTAATCACATCTCTCATGATGCTGTTTCATAGAAACTAAATATAAATTCATTATTTAAACTGTCTCCCCACTCTAGTGAGAAAAGTGTATTGACACAAACAAAAGGTTTAAATGAAATATATCATATATCCTATACTATATAATATACAGAAATCAACTATTAAAGCATTGATTTTAATTTTATACAATTCTGATTGTGTGGTGTTTAGGATAAAATATCATTTTTTAAACAAAGACATTCTCTTCTACAATGCAGTTTAGTATGAAGCACAAAAGTCAACACTTTATATGACCACAGTTATAATTTATTGATACAGTGTTTGAATAGCACAAAGAATTGCAAATTACAAAAGTAATTTCTTAGGCAGAAAGGAGAAATAACATCTGGATGATTTTAGTTCTAGAGAGATATATTAAAAGTTTCTTCATGATTTATATAAATTGCATGATTAGTTAAGTAATTTCTCCCAAACTAATTTTGATTTCACAGTATTTGCAGGAGGAACCAGAATTCAAATAACATCATAGTTTTATATGAATATGGGTACACATCTGCTGCCATTATCTATAAATGATAGTTTAGTACACCTGGATAGGATGAAGTAATTGTTACAGGCTGAATTGTGTTCCTCCAAAATTCACGTCAAAGCTGTAAATTCCCGAAATACAGGCACTTTGAATTGTGACTGTATGTAAAGATAAGGCCTCTAAAGAGGAAATTAAATAAAACAAGGTATTAGAGTAGATCTTAATTCAATCTGACTGGATCAAGAAAAAGAAATTAGGACACACAGGGAGACACTGTTTACTCACAGAGAGAAAAATATCTCATAAGGACACAGTGAGAAGGTGGCCTTCTGCAAGCCAAAGATAGATGCCTCAGAAGAAATCAAACCCACAGATACCTTAATCTTGGACTTCTTAACCTTCAAAACTGCGTAAAAAATAAATTTTGATTATTTAAGCTATTCAGTCTGTGGTATTTTGTTACAGTGGTCTTAACAAACTAATACAGTAATTATATTCCTAAATGTTCTTAAATTCTTCATAATTAACTGTCAGAGCTATGAATAAACACCAACTTATTGACATCCATTCTACATAAAATATCATTGTACAGTTTTCTCAGGTTTTGATGTACATTTCATGTTTATCAGGATATAGCTTCTGAACATGAAATAATGTAGAAACATGTATTTTTTTGAACAATTTTCCTTGACTGTGCTAGAAATAGTGAAGCCCATTCTTAGCTACAAGCCCGTTCTCAGCTCCTACCCCATTGTAAAAACAAACAAAAAATGCTACTCTAACTACGCTTTTGGAAGGGTCAGGTCTAACTTTAATGTAGTCAAATACAATTATAATATATAAAGTGCGTATAGCTTTTTTTCCCTTTTTGTTACGGAGTGGAGTTTAAGTTCTTTTGAAGTTTATTATAAGTTTTTGAATAGCTAATATTTATGACATTATGGCAGTATGGCAGCTGACTGTGATTAGACTCCTTTGTAAACATTCTGATGATATTTACTAGGTAGAAAACCCAGAGACTTCTTTATCAAGATATTTTTAACAGAATCCTCATATTTAATTTAGAATTGTTGCTGTAAATAATACCAGAATTTATGGATTTCTTAAACACAGCTGGAGAGGTTTGTCACATAGTTCTTCCTCTGATGAGTGATCACCCAAGTACAGATGGTCTCCAACTTATGATGGATCAACTCATGAATGTTTACCACAGTTTGAAAGTAGCATACATTCAGTAGAAACTATAAGTGTCCATATAGCCATTTTGTTTTTCTCTTTCAGTATAATGTCCAATAAATTACATGAGATAGTCAACCCTTGATCATTTTAGCTCTAGAGAGATACATTAAAAATAAGCATTGTGTTAGATTATTTTTCCAAGTGTTCTGAATATGTTTAAAGTAGATGAGGCTAAGGCCGAGACGGACGGATCACGAGGTCAGGAGATCGAGACCATCCTGGCTAACACGGTGAAACCCCGTCTCTACTAAAAATATAAAAAATTAGTCGGGCGTGGTGGCGGGCACCTGTAGTCCCAGCTACTCGGGAGGCTGAGGCAGGAGAATGGAGTGAACCCGGGAGGCGGAGCTTGCAGTGAGCCGAGATCGTGCCACTGCACTCCAGCCTGGGCGACAGAGCAAGCCTCCGTCTCAAAAAAAATAAAAGTAGATGAGGCTAAGCTATAATGCTCAGTAGGTTAGATGTATTAAATGCATTTTTGACTAATGTACCATGGGTTTACAGGGATGTAACCTCATCGTAAGTTAAGGAGAGGAGCATATGTATAAAAAAGTAAGATGCCCCAAAACTGAATTGCTTCATCTGAGATGATGTATAATGCTCCCTTTATTAGTGCTCATCTGTTACTTCCAAACTAACTTGCATCACAGTTGTAGGAAAATGAAATTTAGGCACCTGCATTTATATAGGTCTGGTCTTCTTGAGAAAAAAAAAGTCACATTCCCATTTAGTATCTACTTGTATCATTGGATTACATTTTATTAATTTGGAGTAAGCAAAATTTGTTGTTGAATAAGAAATATACTTCAAGTGAATATTTCTTAACAACTCAACACTTTTAATACTGTATTATAAATTCATTGCAGCTATGGCTTTGTCTTTTATAGCCATGCAATCTAATGTCTGATACATTTTTCTGACGGGAGGACAAAAGGAAATGAAAGAGATGTAAAAAGAAAAAGATGACAACATTTTGTTACAATTACTCTCTCCTTATCTTTGGTATGAAGTTCCAAATGGCTTTAGGAATATTGTAGCAGACAAATCTTCCCAATGGAATTTGGAAGAATTCTATTTAGACCTAGGAAACTGGCAAAGTGCGTAGGTAGGAAATTTCAAGCAAAAAGAACTTTAGCAAAATCTATAATTGGAAATTGTTACATGGGTTTCAAATAACAGAATGGAGAGGGAGACATTGATGGCATAATTAATAGCACATTATTGACTCTAAAAGGTGAGAAATAGCCATTGTGACAACTACACCTTTGGTGAATCAGGTCAATTTTGGATATATTCAATTTAATTAATGTTGATATGTAAATAACGCAGGGGTTAGGGGAACCAAACCTCTCTGCATTACAAAGTCTGTGTATAACTTTGATTCCCCAAAAATCTAACCATTAATAGCCTATTATTGACTAGAAGTTTACTAATAATACAAACAATTAATATATACTTTGTATGTTATATGTATTATTTACTGTATTCTTATAATAAACTAGGGGAAAGGAAATGTTAAGAAAATTATAAAGAAAAGAAATTATATTTACTCTTCATAAATAGAAACTGATCATTATAAAGGTCTTCATCCCTGTCGTCTTCACGTTGAATAAGTTGAGGAGAAGGAGGATGAGGAGAGGTTGACCCTGTTGTCTCAGAGGATGCAAATCCCTGTGCAAGTGGATATGCACACTTCAAACTGATGTTGTTGAAGGGTCAACTGTACAGAAGTCCAAATTTTGAGCCAAAAATTCTTGAAAAGAAGGCTGAATTGTCACTTTAGTTAAAACCATAGAATATAAAAACAATTGACTGAAGGATGGGAATGAACTCAGCCAATCCCTGGCATTTAAGTTCTTTTTAATGATATGGGCCAGAGGGCATAAGAAATTACAAGATATGAAATGGCAATGTACACTAATCACTGTGAGTAGACAGAATATTCTAGAGTAAGTGGGGAAATTACAATGATACTGTGGTGAATTCTACAATTTCACTTAAATTGAGAATTGGAAAACGTCAATGGAGAAAATATTCTGTGGTTGTGTTGCCTAATGAGAATGCGTAATTGAGGTGGCTATTATGTAGGGATTGAGGATTCTGTCTCTATTATTCTCTAATTGGAGATCAGCCAAATTTACTCTTTACACAATTTTAAGTGGGTATGCTAAATGTGAACTTGTGGAATGGCCCAGTCCCTCCCTATAATAAATTTAAACAATTCAGAAATCTGGGAAGGAAGCAAGAGGTCACTGCTATAATACAGGTAATGGTAAAAGTGGGAGCTTTGATTCTTACTAACTTTTCTTATTTCCCCAGCTGATCTATATGCAAGTCAGAAAGTACATAAAGACTGGGAGTGGATGATTAAGGATGAACATAATTGGTTTTCTTAATACCTTCAGCCATACTTAGCATGGTAAATAATGTACACTAAGGTTATTGGCTGAGTGGATTGACATTTGTATTAAACTTAGTCATTATATTTTCCATTTTATTTCTGAGTTCAGCTAAGAACAATTTCCATTTATGTGGAATAGACTTCAGGACATATTACATTTTTGCCAAAGAGATATTTGAATTTACTTTTGTACTATTACAATCTAGTGGATCAAGACTTAGACTTGATAGCTCTTAAGGATAAATGGGTGTACTGCATAAACATTATCATAATAATTGCTTCCTTGGGAAACAAAAACACTAGAAGATTTAGGGGCTTTAATTACCCATAGAACAAATAGGGAGTAGCTGATAAATGTATTTGTTTTTCTTTCTTTATATTTTTTTTTCTTCTTATGTCCAATCTTGAGACTATAGAGGAATATATCACTGCACAACAAATGACATCCATTTTACTGAATTTGGCCAAGTACAAGATGGTGATGAAAAACAATGGAAAGCAGGTTGCCACTGCCTCCTGCTATTTCAGTTTGATCTTTCTTTTATATCAAATGTAAAAGTGGATAGAATATTAATATTTGTTTTAAAAAGTGACAATAGAACTCAGAGAGTCTAAAAGAGTGGGTATAGAGGTGAAATACAGGTTGCATGTCAGTAATGGCTCTCCTTTGGAGCTTTGGAGGGACTGCTTATGAGAGAGTCCGTATGGCACAATCAGACTTTGCTGTACTTAATGGCTTGAATGTACCCAGTTGACAGTTTCATTTGTCTTGAAATAATGTCGGGTAAATACTATTTGCCTAAATTGTACCAATAGTAGGAATTTTGGCTTTTCTCATTTAAAATAGTTTTTCTTTGTTACTTCAAATATTTTTGGTTTACATTTTTTGATGACATTAGTCAAAGACTTTGCATCTCTCTATATACAGATTTCAACCAGCTAAGACAGATTACTTAATAAAAGAGGGAAGTAAAACAGGTTTCTCAGCAAATTGAATCCAGAAAAGTGTGTCATATCAAAAATATTGTTTAAATATTCAAAATAAAAAATGTTTAGCTTTTCCAAAATAATTTGTTTGAGAAAATATTCTGATGAGCAAAAAGGCATAAAGTGCTAAAATATTTAGTATGAGTGAGTCTTTTGATAATAACCTCTTAACATTCTCCAGGTTCCATCACATTCTTGTGTGTGTTTTTATCTCCCTTAACCAGGAAAAGACTTTTCTCCTCATACTTAACAATAAATGTCTTTGGATACGTAGAAAATATAAAGAAATGTGACCTCTTCTCTACTAATAAAGAAATTTATAAAATTTAATCAGTCATAAAAGTAATTATTTCACATACAGGAATCTGACTATGGGTCACCAAACTCTAATTTTTGGTCTAGTATAATTTTGCAATTTAACTTTAAGTAAAATTAACCAATTTATGGATAATTTTATGTACTTGGAATTATCACTCTTTACGAATGAATATATAAAATGCCTCTGTTTAAATACTCGATTTCAGAGATGTGATTTTGTTAAACCATTGTTTTGATAGTAAAAATATCCATAATTATTGTATTCCAAGGGTAGTGGGTGTAGACCATTTGATTTTGTAGAGTAGTTTGTACTATACTAAAGTTTGGGTTCTTTGTCCAGTAATGTAAAGCTGCAAGCTAAATATTATCAAGGTAATATATAATTAAAATAATTGGTTTATTATATGTAATAATAATGTGAAGTTTTACAGTGAAATGTATATAGTAAATGTATAGCTTTACAGTATGTACCATTCTTCTGAAGAAATATGTGTAAAAGTGGTAGTAAACAACGTATCAAACAAGGATATGAGAATGAGAAAATTCAGTATTGAATACTTGGACTAACCTTAGTTTTTCAAAATATTAGTTGCAATTTTTTATCACCATAAGCTTTGTGAAATGTAATGACCATGTAAAATTGTCTGTTTCAGTAAGATAAAAAAAGAACAAAATTCAAAAAAATGATATTCTGGTGACCTCAGAAGCACTGAGTTTTAAAAACATGTGGATAGTATCTAAGTAACACAATCCTTCCTACTTCCTATGTTTGTGCTAATATTAAATGAGAAGGACAGACTACAAAGGTAATGACTAATAGGCTTAATATGACCTTAACTGTATTTCCTTTACAATTTATTTGTTATGGGAAGTTAATTGTGCCACTTTCATTTAAAAAATCATTTATCCGACTTTCTTAATGCACATCCATGTAAATTTTGTATAGCTTCCCTTACTAGGCAAAGATATTCAGACCTTAACATCTAGATTTTTTCATTGCATACATGCAAAGTGTTAATTAGTAAAGCTTGAATTTCACAGACTCGTATTTAAACCCAAGAAACAACATTGTTTTTTACAAAAATAACAATCAACTAATATACATAAAATTTCAAGAAGTATAGGGCCATTTAAATGCTTTTACTTTTTTTTCCTCTTCTTCCTCTTCCTTCCTTCCACTGCCTGTATTTTTTTCACTTTGTTTTCATTCTCATTCTTATTTTCTCATGTTTTGAACTGATATTATCCTCTTGAACACTGTCACAGTTCAAATTCATTGCTCCTCTCCACTTCAATAGCGGGCAGAAAACATAGTGCCTTCCTCTACAGCCATGGTTCAGGATTTAAATTCTGTCCTTTCCACCAAATAAGGGCATACCATATTGCTATTATAACCCATATACAGGGACTGTGGAAATATAAAATCCTAATATAGGACTTGGACATTATTTAATAAATTAGTGAATCAGTTAAAGAATAAATTTTAAAAACTGCAGCATATATACAAAATGTCAAATAGAATAACTTCCAAGGACTTTCAGTTAAATATGGAAGTAGGTACATTTACCTCTATTGTCCCCAAAATAATGCCAAAATGATACTAAAAAATAAGAAAGCTGAAATGCTCATAAATGCAAAGAGAATGGTAGAAGAAACAGTAATGTATAACAGTTATAAAAACAATTATTTTAAGATGAAGCATGTGTAGAAGAGATGAAGAAACTGAGAATGTTATGTTGCAGAGGAGTTTATTAATGAGAAGAAACGGAAGGTAAGGCATTTGGTTAAAAGCCTTGGGATTGCTTGAAAACCTTTAGAAATACATTGTCAAATGCAGATTTTACTTAGCCTCCCCAAACAGGTCATTTCTGTACTAACCACATGAAACGCAGAAGAATTTGAAACATACATTTTCTAGACTCAGTTACCTAAAGCACAACAGAGAAGATGAATAAGGGACAGGCAAAAATGGGAGGATTAGATACATAGTTACATGCTTATTAGCAGCAATTCTGCCTCCTTTCCCTTATCAGTAGACAAGAGATTTAGGCCTCAAAGAACTTTTGCAAATAAACTCTGAAATCATAAAAAAAGAGACTTGGCTTAATTTATGAGAAACAATGAGCAAAATCAGTGTCATTAAGTAAATGTCTATACGCCCGCATGTTATATGGTTCAAGGTTTATCTCTGTGCCAGGAGACTATGCCAATAGGCAGAAGACTGGGTACTCTTATTCAGAAGTGAAGAAGAGTTCTGCAGATTGAAGCTATAAATGAGGGTCCCCTCAACAATATCAACAATATGAAGCCCCCAAATGGGCATGTTCTACCCATTAAGTAAAAATGTAAATAACAGAGAGCAAAGTAAATTAAATATAGAAGTAGAAAGAATCAGTAATAGAGCAGGTACAGAAGAAAACACAGGACATTAACAATGAACTATAACTGGATAATATTTTTTAAATGAACAGAAAATAAGAATCAAACTCTATAATTTTAAATGACAACAAAATATTTATCATAATATTAAAGTCTGAAAAACTCTCAGAATAAAAAATTAAAAGCAAAAATTTCACTCCTCTCTCCTACTCTTTCTCCTCTCTAGTAACTGTAATACTATTCTACTCTCTAATTAAATGAAATTAACTTTTTAGCTTTCATATGTGAGAATATTCAGTATGTATCTCTCTGTGCCTGGCTAATTTCACATAACATAATTGTTCTCCAAGCTCATCTGTGTTAGTGTGAATGACAGAATTTCATTATTTTTTATGGATAAGTAGTATTCTGTTGTGTACACATAACACATTTTCTTTATCCATTCATTTGCCAATGAACACAGCATAATTCCATATTTTGGCTATTGTGATATTCCCAACACAAAACAATGATAAATGTTTGAGGCAATGACTATACTCATTACTCTAATTTGATCATTACACAGTATACACACGTATTGGAATATTACACTGTACTCCATAAATATGTACAATTAGTATGTATCAATTAAAATAATAAAAAAGGAACAAAAAGCAAACATTCCAAAAGCTTAGCTAAAAAATGCAAAAAATCAAAGAGCTAAAAATGAGGCAAAGAACAAGAAAATTGAGAGAACGAATCTCTGTGGTCCAGTATCCAATTATGAGAATCTGTAAAGTGAGAAATGTTCAAAAATGCTTTCATTGAATCTCCTCCATAACTATTTTTAAAATATCACCAATGGCATATCTCTGAGAAATTTTATAACTGAGAGGTTTTCTTTAATAGTAAAATATTCTGGAGAATGGAAAATTGGATTGGAGAAGCAAAACAGTGCTTAGGATTCCTAAGAGCAATACTGGAACTAGAAAGCAATAGAATAAATTATTCAGAAATTCTTAGTTGTAAACATTATTTTCAACTAAGAATTTTATACCCATGCAAAGGAAAAGGCAGAATAAAGGTAATTTAAAATATCAATATGTCAAAACTTTATCTTCATAATTTTTTAGCAAACTAATAGATTGACTTTTTCTTAAAATATCTAGAATAAACCAAGAAAGAGGAAATATATCAATGTTTGGATGAAAAATACAGAGATCCAACACAGGAGTGATACAAAGGAAAGTCTATAAATTTCACCCGAGGAGTAGGTCTCCAGAATGGAATAGGTGAATTTAGATCCTTATGCAAATAATGAGACAAATATTTGAAATGTTTGAATTCAGAATAATAAAGACTGAAAACAAATACACAGTTTGGAAATAAGTAGAGATAAACACATAAAAGACAAGTAAATGAAATGGCAATTTTTAAATAGTAAAAAATTATAAGAAAAATATATAGTGAATATTCTCAGTAGAAAACTTATTTGGAAAGATATGTTAAAGCAAGTACACAATAAATATTGGCTTCCTAAATTAATACATGAATAAATGAATGTACGATTATCAATCACAATCAATTAAAAAATCATCTTAAATTATACTGTGGAAAGTGACAAAGACTTGAAGTGGTGCACATATGTATCAAAATTATGGGCATAATTGGAAAAATATAAACAAAAATTAAAATTTTTAAATTATCTGTATAGAAGACATTCTGTGTATACTTTTAATTTTTTATAAAATTAATCTTTTGTACCTTAAAATCTAGAATATTCAAGAAATAGTAGACAAGAGAAATCAAGGTGTGTTATAGAAATTGCCATGTAGACATAAATAAAATGTGATTAACCAAATTAGTAAAATAAGGCATTATAAAATGTAATAAAATTAAGGATAAAATTAACATTGAAGGACTTGCTATTACCAAAGGGCCAGAGCTAGAATGAGGCAGGTGCAGCACTTGCCTGAAGTAAAAAATTTAGGGTTTTTTCAAGTAACTTCATGATTAAGATGAACAATATTTTAATGCAAACTTTTTTTGAAAACTAAAATGTAATCCAAAAAGGCCATGATAAGCAAAATATCACTTTTTAAAACTTTTAAATGTACCAGTGAATTGCCATCACTGCTATGTATGTGGTAAGTGTGGAATAACATTTTATTACTAAGGATAACTGAGGAGACTGAACCATAACTTCAGCAGCAGTGGTAGTGACAACAGGGATGATAACACTGATAGGGTCCAAGTAGGACAAAGTGCAAGAGACTCACAGGTTATGATGTGTCCACTTCTGTTTAGTCCCCTCTCAATAGCGTTTGTGTCAAAGACTTAGAAACTAAGTAGAATATGAGCATAACATCTGATTTTTGGTGAGTGGTGGAGGCCCTCTCACTACTACCACAAGAAATGACTGTTGTAGCAAGACTGTGAACCCTCCTGGCAGAGATTATTATTATTATTATTATTATTATTATTACTATGTCTTCCAGTAGTTTGAGCATCATTCAAGGTGATTCAAGTTTGCACCTGAGAGCTCAATCTAGAAGTCTCAGGAATCATCACTATTGGTCAATGGTTCACATAGGCCAAATATGTAATTAAAAGACAAAAAGAAAACTCTTGGTAATTTTCAATTGTGTTCATGGTTCTTGTACATTATGGTGTGAGATGAGGGGCACTGAGGAGCAGGGAAGCACATTTACTGCAAATCCAAGGATCCAAGGACCACATTTAAGGAATTTCCAACAATGGTTATGTGAGGATATTGAAGAAATCTCTATAAAAATATTAAGTCCAATTGACCCATACTATCATTCCAGGGGTCTATAAATACACCAAAGGCAGAGAGCAATTAAAGAAGCATTTATTCATGTAAAACTGCATAGATCATCATGAAAGTAAATCACTGATCTGTGACATTCTTAACAAAGCCCACTCCTATTTCCCCATAGTTGATATAAGAATGTGGTGGTGCTCAAACAGCTATCATCAAAGAATGGGAAAACACAGTTTTGTCTTCTATTAGTAGTGAACTTGATAGGAAACAAATGGGTAAAAATCGATTTTCTAGCCCAAGGTTGTGGTCTTAGTTTGAGTAAGTGCAGACAAGCAAGCAATTTGACCAGGAGATCCTAAAATTAAAGACTCATAGAATGACTGTATATACTCCCCACAAATACCTAGTTACTGGGAAACTGCACACATGCCTGGAAGAAACCCAAAAGGCCGTGGCAGAGGGTGAAGGCTGTGGAAGACTTGACAAGTCGTTGAGCATTGAATGTGCCTCCCAAAGTGACACAGTAGAGACTGGAAGCCTTGAAAGCTTGAGATGTTTGACGGCAACCTCTCCCAAATCCTTGCCTGAACAATAAACTGCACAGATACAAGATTTATCCTTGGAAATCAGGCTAACACACACAAAAAACATGAACATAAGCATCACATAAAAACATCACTAAACATGGAAAAACAGAAAATAGAGTATAGGAGTCCTAAGTTAGTTTAGGTTCAGATAAATCATTTGGGAAAAAAAAAAAAAATCAAAAGAATATGTGACCCATGCTCAGTGACTAGAAACCAACTCTGAGTGGGCTGGGATGTTGGCTTGATTAGACAAACGCCCACAGATATCAAGAAATAGGTTTAAAGAATTTAGAAATATGTTCTCTTATAAACATGTTCAAACAATTTAAAAAAATATGATTAGAGTATCACTTCTGCTAAATATATATTTTTTTCTAAGTTCTATTTAAACAATAGGTAAGAAGAAATAATTTAACAACTGGCAAATTGAACTTTATTAGTGCAAAAAGTAAAATGACTTTAAATATGAAAACATTTTAAAAAGTTAAAGTAATAATTATAAGAAAAAAGTACAGTAAACATGTTTTTGGTGAGTCGGTTACATTTTGATGTCATTTTCCAATGGTATAATATGAGATAGGATACTGGGGTAAATTTTTATTTTTATAATACTTAAACTCTTCCTTTATGAACTTTAATAATAACTTCAAAATATATTAAATAATATCTGTATTAAAGTTAGGTCACTGGTGTTTATCATGATCACATACCAGTTATTTTCAGTACTGATTATATTTTATTTAAACAAATTTCCTTTTGGTTATTTTGTTAAAAATAACATTCAAGCAACTTAACTTGATAAGAAATATTATGTAAATTAGGACAAACACATGCCATTAATGAAAGACTTTAAAAAGTAGAACGACCTCTGTAGAATTAAAATTAGAATGAATAATCCCCCAGCTGTTATTATTTCACATGGAATATGTGTGTTTCAGCTGAAACACTTGGGATTTCTAATTGTTCACAGCCAAAATCCATTTGATTTCTCTAATCTATTTTTCTTCTTTGATCTCCTGTGATCTGCAGTACAGTGATGTATTAGTGGTTTTTATTAATGATAATTTTTGCCTACTATGGAAATTAATATCCAAATATCTGAGCTTTGCATATGAGTGTATAAAACCATCAGAGCTCTGAGTGAAGGCCCTTTCTTTTGCACAAGTGCTATTCTTAAAAACAAGGCTGCAGTACGTAAGGATACACTATTACTAAGAGATAGGGAATCATATTTTGCAAGGACAAATTTGCTTTAAATGTCTTTAATGTCCATGCTATGGATTGAAGTTTCTCAAACTGATGATCATGAACAGTTCTCTGAAATGTTATCTGAATTTATGCAGACAAAATTGTATACATAAGTGTATAAATAAATGTGTCTATCTCTTAGGAGTGAGAGAGACACAGGTCTCAGAGGAGTGCATAAACCCTAATAACATAAAAATCTAAACAACTCTTTGGGTGAGCTTATATCAGCCCAAGAGTTTGTTTACATATATATGTGTGTGTGAATACATATATGTCTCTGTGTGTGTGTACGTGTATATATCTCTGTGTGTGTATATATATCTCTGTGTGTGTATATATATGTATAATTCTAACTTTAGTGGGTAGACTTAAACAACATATTCTATGTGATAGTGATTAGTCTCTATCTGTCAAGGTACTCCAAGAAGGAACTTAGTATTTTGAGTAGATGTAGTATTTAAATTGCTGGATCATATGCTAAACAGTCAAACCAAAAAATTCTCATATCAGTTACATGGGCATGAACTATTACTGTTTTTTATTTTTTATTTTATTTTATTTTTTATACAGGGTCTTGTTCTGTCTCCCAGGCTAGAGTGCAGTGGTGCCATCTTGGCTCACTGCAACCTCTGCCTCCTGGGTTAACATGCATGCTTACATATATAAACATGTTCATACAATACTTGCATATGTTAACATACACACATGCACCTGTCAAAATATATGTACATTAACACACACATTAACATGTATGCAGGCACATGCACTCATACATATGTTTACATGCACACATACATATATTAACATACATGAATATACTCACAAACATATGCTGACATATGTAAGCACATGCATGCATATGCTAGCACACACACGCATATATTAACATCTATTTACACACATACACGTATATGTTATCATATTTCCAAACATATACATCTTTAACATACATGCAATTGCACAGATGCATGTTAAGATATATGTAGATACATATTCATTTGTATGTATATGCACACACATTCACATGTAAACATATGTGTATATACACACATGTTAATATATATGAATGCACCTATAGGCATGTATTTATTAACATGTACTTACACACTTGCTTGTGTTAACTTATATGTAAGTATATATATATGCATATATTAACAAAAATATACACACAAACATATTAAGATATATGGACGTACACCCATCCACACTTTAACATATATGTATAAGCACACATACAAATGCTACTATATACTTTAACATACACAAGTTAAAACGTATGTACATGCATTGACACACACATGTGTTAACACTTATGTACATATACATGTTTATTAACATACAGACACATATGTCCATACATATATGCAAACTCATACCTGTTATCACATATGCACACACATACATGTGAACTTGCATGTATACATATACATACGCACATACATGCTAATACACATGTACATACACGCATGAACATGCTGACATATATTCACATGCACACACCCATACAGTTGAACATTTATGTACGATCCATCACACATGCATATGTTAATATATACATATACATGTGTTGATATATATTCGCTTATGTGCATTCATATGTTAACATGTGTACACGTACACATACATATGTTTACATGTATGTGGACACACATATGTCAACATATTTGTGCACACACATGCTCACTTGCCTACATATATTCACATATATGTACATAAACACATACATGTTTACATGCCTGCTACTACACACCTATATTTTAACATGCATGTATTTACATACACACATAAATATGTTGAAATATATGCACGCACACGCATGCATACATATGTTAACATGTACACACATATTAACATATTTATGTACACACATGTTTACTGTCACATGAATATTTTAACACATATGTACATACATACACAAATGTACATACACACGTTAATATATACGTAATTGCACTCATATGTTAACGTATCTGTGCATACATACACACACATGTTAACATATGTTTATGTACATACGTCATCACAAACACATGAATATTGTAACATATTCACATACATAAATATATTAACATACAGGTACATGCGTACATGCATGTTAACATGCATGTAATTGCACACATATATGTTAACATATGTTGATGCATGCACAACTTCACATGTTAGATATACATACACTCGTAGACATAATATTTACATACACGCATATGCCAACATATGTGTGCTTGCACAGTTATATATTTCAACATATATTCTTACATACAGACATTCATGTTAACATATTAATACACACATATACGCATACATTTTACCATAGTTGCGTGTACAGACATACATATGTTTATATATATGCGTACACATATACATGTTATGATATATGTACATACTTACACATATAAACGTTGATATATATTTACATGCATGTGCATGCCTGTTACCCTGTATATGCGTGCATATTCATGTACATATGTTAACATATGTTAACTTGTATATATATACATATTGCACACATATCTTAACATAGAGGTAGCTACACACATTAACATATATGTCGTTGTATAACCACTTGCACATGTTTATGTATATGTATGTACACACATACACCAGTTAAAATACATGTACATACACACATACATAAGTTAACATAAGCACATAAACACATACTTGTTAACACATTTGCTCATACACAGTTATGTTAACATATATGTACATACACACATGTGTTAAAATATATGTACAGACATACATATTCGTGCTAACATATATGTAAGTACACATATATTTATATAACATGTTATATATGTTCATACATATATTTAATATACATTTACACACATATATGTTAATATAAGTGTATATACACAGCCATATATTTTTAATATATCTGTATTTACATACACACATATATGTTTAAATATACACTCATATACATGCGTATATATGTGTGTATATATATACACTTACAAATATGTGTGTGTATGTTTGTATGTATATATATTTATATTTATATATATACATGCCTTGGCTCATATACTTCTACATTTGATTATTAATTTTTTGGATTTTTTTTCCCTGTGTATAATGGGTAAATTGTATTGGAAATGACAATCTATATATAAATTTTTTATTGGAATCCATTAATATTTTACTAAATTTTCAGCATATTTTATATAGTTATAAGAATATATTTTAAGAAAAATTACTAAAATAAAAAAGAAAGTAACATTTGTTTTATTCCCTAGGAGGAAACAGTGTTCAAGCACCTTTAAGACTTTATCCTCTTTTTTAATTTTTCCATCCTCCAACATATGGTGTTTTTCTCTATCTTCTTGTCTCTCATTTACTAGCAATAACTTAATACAGTTGAAAATGGTCGACCAGAACAATACTGTCAGTCAATTTAATCTAATTGATATTTTTAAACTATTACAACAGCAGAATGCATATTCTTTTCATGCTCGTAAGGAATAGTCACCAAGATAGACCATATACTGAGTCATAAAAGCATTCTAACAAGCTTCCTATAATAGAAATCCTACAAAGTATTTTTTCAAACCACAGTAAAATTATACTAGAAATCTATAACAGAAAGATAATTGTAAAATATATAAATATTTGGATATCAAGTAATACATTTCTAAATAACGTGTCATAGAAACTTCTCAAGTCTAACTAAGCGAACACGAAAACACAATATATCAAGGTTTTAGAATGCAATGAAAGCAGTGCTTAGAGGAAAATTTAGAGCATTAAATTCATATATTAGAAATAAAGAATGACCTAAAATCAATAATCTTAAATTTAGGAAAGCAGAGAGAAAAGAATAATTTATGACTACAACATACACAAGAAAAGAAAACTTATTTGTCAGGAATCAATTAAGTTGAAAACAAAAAAAAAAATGGAAAAAAATCAATGAAACCAAAAGCTGGTTCTTTAAAGAAATCAATTATATTGGTAAGTTGTTGCCAAGATGACCAGAAAAAAAGAGAGAAAACACAAGCTAACAATTTCAGAAATGAAGGAGGAATCATCAATACAGTACCATAGCCATTAAAAGTGTAATAAGGGGGATACTATGAACTATTCTATGCCCACGATTTGATAACATATGAAATGGACCAAATTCACCAAACACATAAACTATAAAAATTTGAATGAGGAGAAAGAGGTAACCCAAATAGGATAAGTACCCTTTAAAACAAGCTTGAAAAAGCCCACTTTCCCTTTTATCTTGTGAAGACACTCGTAGAAGTTGCCATCCAGGAGGAATGGACCTTCACCAGACATTGAATCTGCCAGTGGCCTGATCTTGGACTTCCCAGCCTTCAAACCTGTGTGCAATACATTTATGCTGTTTACTTATCATGCAGTCTATACTATTACTGTTAGAGCAGCCCAAACTAAGACACAAAGTGGTACCAGGTCTTGGGCTATCTATCCTATGCTTGTTTCACCATGGTTTCTTCTCTTTTTTTTTTCTAGTCATCTTGGCTAGAGCTTATCAGTATAATTGATCTCTTTAAAGAACTAGCTTTTGGTTTCATTGATTTTCTCAATTTTTTTTCTTGGTTTTCCACAGTAACCATGGTATTTCAAATGACTGTGAAGTAATTTGACTTCACAGGCTCACAGCTGGAGGGGAATTTGCCTCAGGATAAAACACATCTTTGAGTCTCACCCATATCTGATTAGATAATTTTAATAAGACTTTAGACTTAGACTTTGAGTTCATACTGAAATGAGTTCAGAATTTGGAGGCTATTAGAATGGAATGAATGTACTTATCATGTAAGAAGGGCATTAATTTTGGTAGGACTGGGGCAGAATATTATGGTCTGAGTATCAGTATTCCCACAAAAAAATTATTTATCTTGGAACCTCACATCCAATGTCAGAATATTAAGAGTTGGGGCCATTAGGAAGTGATGAAGTAATAAGGGCTCTATTCTTATGAATGTGATTAGCATCCTTATAAAAAAAGGCTTGAGGAAACTCCTTTGCCTTTCTGCCATGTGAGGACAAACAATGGAAGGCACCCTCTATGAGGAACTGAGCCCTTGCCAGACACCAAATGTGCTTGATCTTAGACTTCCCAGTCTCTAGAACTGTGCGCACTAAATTTATGCTGTTTATAAATTACTCAGTCTGAAGTATTTTGTTATATTATTATTAGATTACAACAGTTGCTTGAATTTTTTACAAATATCTCCTTGAACTAACTGAATATTCAAATCAATTTTCTCTTGACCCAAAGGTAAGACACAATAATCCTATTAATTTTTCCCTTTTGTAAAAAGCAAATTCCTCAGGGGGTCTCTTTAAAGTCTTCCCATGGTTTCTTTTATGGAGTACCCTTATAGACCTGCTTCTTATTTTTGCAGGACTCAAAATAATAATATAAAGCATTTAGGTAGATTTGAGGTTGTGTGTACCAAAGTAGGCTTTGCAGGAAGGCTAAAACATATGGGCTAGGAATTTGTACATTCCACTGTAATTTACCAACTCATGACTCTGCAGACATGTGGGTGACAGAAGGACCGCTATAATAGACCCTCAGAGCATAAGCCAGAGTGGGACCACAGTTTTTAAGGTAAAAATGACTATTGCCCCTTTATAGACTGTATCAAAGAGCTAACACAGGGATCTTTTTCTTTTCTTTTATGGAATTTACTCGTGACTATATGCTGGGGAGAAGATAATGATACAAGTTGCATTTTTTTCACTAGTTTTGTTTGATTTATATTTTTGTATTATATTACTTTCTTTTATTTATCCATGCTGACAAGAGAGAAGAAAAAGCATTCTAGATATGAAAGCAACATTTACAAAATGTGAAAGTGATATGTGTATTTATTTGAATGAAATATAAAAAATTGGGCAACATGTTTCATGTTAGTAAGAAAAGCACTTTTCAGGCTCTTTTTCCTTAGACCATGTAATCTAATATTGGTGTTACACAGGGTTTTTCTCTACAAGGAAGCATTCATAAATAGATTTGATTAAGGGATTCCAAGTAATTGACACTTTTGTGTGCAACATACATTACAAACCTAATGAGAAACGAAGATGTCAACACATGGAGGACAAAATTGCATTTTCTTTCTGATAAAGAGAAAACTGCAGGGCATGGTTCATGTATGTGAATCAGTGTTTTCCTAGTTACTAAATTGTGAATTAAACAGACTTAAATATAGGTAGAGATCTCTGGCATGAAGTAATACAGGGGAATATGTATTCTAGGCACAATATCATTCCCAAGGGAAGCAGGAAATAAAAAATCAGGTGTAGAAATGCCTACTTTCTCTTCAAAACTCTACTTTTTGTGTTATTTTCTCTACTTTTGATGTTATTTTCTCTACTTTTGAGAGTGTAGTTGAATGAGGGAGTAAAGATAAAACATATTAGATATGTAAGTAGATAGAAATATTGAATATGATAGATGTATAATATTATTTGAACTCTTTTTACATGAGACAGAATATGGAGAGTGGGGAAGAATCATCCCTCATCTATGAGATATGGAAAGAATTAGTTTATATAAATGGAACATGAATCCATTTGACTGTTCCAAGAGGGAATGAGAAATGTTAGGTAAATGTGATACAGTGGAAATGGAAACATATGTCTTGAGCAGAGCATGTTTTCTGAACGTGAGTGAAGAACATTGGGATATATGTGAGTGTATACTAATATTAATATGGAGAAAAATTAAATTCTTTAATTTAATTTAAAGGGAGAAAAAGAAAATAAATATATAGAAAGAGAAAAAAGCTTGTGCCAAACTAATTTTTTTCATTTCATGTGTTTTTTCATATGCTCTTATTGGTCACACATAACATTTTTGGTAGATAAAGTGGACATTCATTGGGCCAACTTTACATCATTGTTTACAATCTTAATTAGGTCACTGTTGATTATCTGGGAGAATTCACTTGAAATTGCTTTGAAGCCTTTTCCTTAGGGTTTTGCCTGGGTGTATAAGGAATTGCTCCCTAATTACTATTCCACAGATTGGACTCCTTGCAGGCTCGTTTTCCTGCTAGCAGATCTTTTCTTCATCAAATATTTATTGGAGTTCGCACTGTGTACAGGGCAATGTACTATGAAGTAAAGAAGAAGATAAGGACTGAGTCAAAGAGATGTGTTCCCAGGTCCCATCAGGTTAGCAGTTTGAAATAGTCACAGGGCATATGGCATAGAGAAAAAAATAACACCAAAATCCTACATATAGAATTGTACATTTTTGACAATTCTAAAGCAAGTTTCATCATTTCCTATTTCTTCTTCCCACGGCTTCAATATAGTATTTTTTCCTTTTTTCCCCTTTTTGGGTAATTCTTAGGATTTGCAATAAATCCAGAATTGGAATGATTTAATTCTTCCCTAATTCCATCTGTTTCAGTCCAAGTGACTTTATCTAGTATTATTTCTAAAGAAAGTAAGAGTCTTGGTAATGGAATAAATGAGGCTTATATAATGTGCTTCGTTTTCCCATTTTTGTAAACAAATTCATGCAACCTCAAGTGGATTTAATAACTTTAATATACCCTAAATCAAAATAGAAAGAAGCATAAGATACAGTGGAAGGAGAATTCATTGTTTTATAAGATAGCCTGTTTTGCAAAACAAATTATTACCTACATGTCAAGTTAGTTGGAATATGACACACTATTTTTTTCTAATTATTGTTAAATGAACTTTACATTTTAGAAATTCACCAAGTATTTAGTAAGGAGTATTTTAACAAAATTATATGTTCAATAACTGTTTCAAGCATGCATTCCTGAATCACTGTGCTCAAAGCTGACTTTAGTGTGTGCATTAGATTCATTAAAAATATACATTTTAAAGTATTTTTTCTGTTTGTATTTTAGTATGAAAGAGGAAAATACCCCAAATGCATTAAAGGAAAATAAGGAAATAAGGGTATCCTGTGTTATTCCTTGCCTCAACATGAAAATTGTTTAAATGAGGCTTTCCTTCAGGTGGGAGGCACTTTCTCTCATCTCTCTGTGACTACTCTTTGGAAAGCTATATGATCGATCAAAGGGTTATTTATTTTATGAGTGGAAAATATAGTGAGAATCAGTATATAGCAAATAGTCTCCTAACTGATGAGAGGGTGTGAATTGATGAAATAAAAGATTTATCAAATGCTTACAAAGCGCTCAACACAGTAAGATGAGAGTAGGGACTTTGAGGATTCTTAAAATGGGGAATTCACAAATTAAACCCTCATGCATTACACATTATGAATGGAAAAGACATCAGTTACAGGCATGACTGCTCTTCAACAGCCCTAAAAAGTAAGGAACAGAAGATTCTATAGTGAGAGGAGTACTAGGAGAATGAAAATCCAAAGCAAATATTTATTCATCATAGAAAGAACAATGGGGTAGTTCATGCACTGTTCATTCTCATTTTAGAAACATTTATTAAAAGTTTAAATATAGACATGATGGCACGAAAACTCATCAGGAGTCAAAACCAAGATTTTAAAAAGCTGGTGGCTTCATACTTAGAAACATACCAGTTTGAAATAATTAACTTTATGGTCCTTTATAATTATAAATCTTGTTACCAAAGAGAAAATTGTAGAATTATATAATAGATTGAGTACCGTTAAAATTTTTATTTGTGAATTTGTGTGTTAGGGCAGTACTGAAGATGATTAAAGATCACAGTTCTTTCAAAAATTATGCTTGGAAATCCAGCATCCATTGTCACCCGTTGGTCTGTTTCAACGGCTTTTTTTCCTCTCTTTGTACATTTTCTTAGTGTGCCTAATTAGTTTTCTACTGAAAACCAGATATTGTATGAAGTACAGAAACATTGAATTATGGTGTTAATTTGGTTTCTCTATAAGCTAAACCTGGGACAAGAATTTGAACACAGTTTATTTGAGCATATTTGTGCCTCTGAGCACAAATGCCAGTAGGGTAGTGAGAAAGTAGGAGAAGGAAAGGAAAAGAAGCCATTGAAAATTGAATTATCACATTAATCACCAGTATGGGAAAGTATAGTGTAATCCCACTGATGAAGCAGGAAATAAATTACAACATGCACCTTGGAGATATTGCATAGTAGGGGCAGGGGAACTGCAGTGTTTGTCACTAAGTAAGGTCTGCTTAGGGTAAGGCCCACCCTTGCTGGCCTGCCACACTAACACTAAACCAGTGGGATCCTATGCAGGTTTTCTCATCTTGAAAAAGGATTGATTTAAAGTAAAACAGTTAAGATCCGTGGGGATTGGTAGGGAACCGAAATCATCTGCTACTGTGATGTTAGCTTTCTCCTGAGAAGATCCACTTTAAGTTACATGAGGCTCAGGGTGGAGTAAATTACTTTAATCCAATTAGAGATCAAGGCTGGTGTTCAGTCCCGGTAAGCCTCAGTCTATCTGGAAAAGCTACCCACATGGTGGGTATCCATGCAGTGATCCAGATTTACCTGCAGAGGTCATTGTTTCCTACGCCCCTCATTGTTTTTTCCTGACCCCCATCTCTAGGCACCTTGGTATAGTAAGTCTTCTGAAAACTGCTGGGCTTTTCAGCCACTTTCACCTTGGCTCTTTATCCTCTAGGCACCTACGGAATTATCTGCAAGTGCCTGGAGGGGAAAACAGTTGCTGAGTTTCAGTCGGACTCTGTACCTCTCTTCTTTTAGAGACCTTGAATCCTCTGTCTGGGGATCCTTAAATTTCATGTTGTTGTTGTTGTTCTACTCGGCTTGGTAAGGATGCCAAAGCTTTGTCAATTTTTTCTGACTCTTAGCGGCACCTTACTGCCCAGTTTGTCAGCAAATGCTTTGCGACCAATAGCAGAACAGATCATAGGGGAAGGGAGCATTGGTTCACCTTTTTAAGATGCTCCTTTACCTGGGACCTAGCTGTTCAATGTTGGCTCAATGTCATACAGATTTTTTTCCCATTTTTTTTCTGGCCTGAAACTGCTACAGGCAACTTCATCATATCTACAACAGAAGTCAAATATAGTAGAAGATAAATTGAAGGATGATTTTAAATCCTGAAAAACAAACAGCAGACAGATTACATATTGGGAATAGAAATGTAGCAAGGGATTACCTGTTTTGCATAAGGCTTTCATCATATTCTAATATATCAAAATGTACGCAAGTTCATGTAAGTTTATTTCTGACAAAGGCTACCATCTTATATGTAAAAGTTTCAAATATAGTTCATGTCAATATAGGGCTCAAAAGCACTATGTTATTTTTGAAATAATTTGCACACAGTCGTAGTCTTCTCTCTAAGGAGTATTTCTCAGAGCATGTTTAGGAACTCATTGTCTTTTTTCAAGGTTGAGAAATCAATAGAAAAAACATCAGTTGCTTTTGGAATGCTTTACTGACATATTAGCTTACATGCTTTTTCTGTCAAGAGTTTCCAATCAATATTATATTGTTTCATGACAAGTAGATAATACATCATTAACAATTTATGAAGGTAAATAATTACAAGTTTCACATTGAAAGTTGAAGTGTATAACAACAACACAGGAGGAGTTAATTGTGATAAAATTTAGAGCTGCATGTATTTTCCTGCTTGCAACATTGAATTGTTAAGCTTGCTTCAGTACCTATGTTTGTTTAATTTTCATTATCATGATTCCCAAGAGGACATTGCTATTTTACAGGCTTCATACTCACAATACTAAAATCAGCCTTTGTGAAAGAAGTTAAGGGTAGGGCAATTGGATTTCTGCAATACTGATTCAAGGACGCAGGATAGGGCAAAGTCTGTACGATTCAGTCTAAAAAGAATCAATACCATATGTCCAGGTATTATACTATTCTGAATTGATAGAATTTAAAATATATCAGAACTTAATTATAGATAATTTCTCATAAGAATGTAGCTTGATGAAAAATAAAATTATTAAGAAAAAAACTCCAAGTTTATAAGTTTCTGTCAACCCAGTGATGTCTTCAATGCTTGTTCACACTGTTATAAGAAAAACAGGCAGTTTAAGAATGGAAAATGTCTTGAGTTGGTAGACAGAATTAGAAGAGACAGCTGTGGTTCTATTACTCGTACAGCCATTCCACTGATGAGTTCTATGACCTCTAGCTAGTCACTTAGCACTTTTTGGGTTTAATTTCCTTTCTATGTATAAAAAAGGAACAAGACTTGTTGTAGATATTGCTATATTCATGGATGAAAACTGCCCATAAGGGCAAAGAAGTATAATTAAATCTTGGCATTGTTCCTTTAAAAATTAAAATCCCATTAAAAATTAAGAAAGTCTTAAGCAACCTCATTAGTGCTAGGCTGGAAAGCAATTAAGTATATTGTTTTGCCCCTAAAAACAGCCCCAGAAGATTAGCTGTGCCCCGTATTGCCAATGATATTTACTGATATAATTGATAGTGGAAGTTTGTCCAACAGTCTCTTTCAGTGTTTATTCTTCATTTTAAATATCATTCCTAAAATACTTATGGATTATTTAGCTAAGTTTAAAAATTGAAGTTTATTTAAAATCCAAGGAATTTAAAAAACAAAATAAGCGGTATCTAGATGAAAACAGAAATTACATTCCTAATCATTTAAAACACGTAATTCATTATATTAAGCAATTATTCTAAAGTCTGTTAAGCTAGCCAGTTTTCCTTGCTGTTACATTGTTTTTAATATGTACATATTTTGGAAACTTTGAGACCTGAAATTTCTTTGAAAGAAGAATGCATTTGTTTATTTCATGAGCTTTTAATTCAGAGTGGCAAATTTTTCGAGAAGTAAAACATTTACAAGTTTGTTTTTATAAAGAATACCTAATCAATATTAACTACTTCAGTTGATGTCCTCTATTTCTATTTCTCACACCTTCCGGTAAGTATAAAATTCTTAATATCTTCCTATAAAAAATCAATACCTTAGAACCATGTTAAATTTAAATCAATCAAAATAAAAATTTATACCTTAGGTCAGTATTAATTTTAAATGAAGTGAATGAAATAATTTTATTTCATGGATAGTTTTAACTCAAAATATATTTCTTCAGTATGTATAATCCAAAGTACATGATATACAACTGGGGGAAAGACTAAGGATGAGTCTGGCTTATTCAATTCCTTGGCTATATGTTAAACATTTGCTGTATTTCATTGAATTTAAGACATCATTGATTTAAAAATGCACTATTATTCTGCATTTCACTGAGAAAGAAAAAAAAACACTAACAAACTATAACAAAATGATTTTAACATGTAGAATATTTATATTTTACTTAACTAATGCACTATTTTAGACTTATCAAAACATAGATTTGGGTCATAGAATTTTGATCATATATGTTTTTCCCAGAGGATCTTGATGTATCATAAAATAATAAAGTCAAATTCTTAACATTCAGATTTGACTCTTCTGCATCACTTTTCATCTTAGTTTCTGTTATTTTCTACACAATATATTATTTACAGTCAAGAGAATTAGAAATTGAGAATATTCTTTTGAAACAGTGATATCTACTTCTTTACCAATTTATATATGCAGTAGAATGGAAAGCTAATTATCTAAGTTAAGGAGAAAATAAATTATAGGCTTTTTAGCTTGCTATTATTGTATACACACACATGCGTGCACACACACATATTTTCTCCCACAGTAAGTCCAACAACATGGATGCGGGTACTGAAATAAACTCAGTGATTTAATTTCATAAGATATAGTGTTACAGTTTTTGACATACAGTTTCTTCAATAAGTGTTAACCCACAATGATATTCCTCTTAGAATTCCTCAAGAAATGTTATCCATTGCCCAAATGTTTTAAACCACCTATAAATTCTGGTGGATGCTAATAACTGGCAATAAATTTAAAAATAGGTTAAATGGTGAAATCATTTATTAAACAATGTTGAACAAATTTATCTACTGAAGTACTTTTCAGACATTTTAAGATGTGACTGTGTTGTATATTTTAAGTGACTACAGTCAGTATTTGTCATTCATTCTTTTACAGAGAGAATGTGCAAGCATTTTTCTTCTTTTAATCAAGTACATGTATTTAGCACAGCAATGAAGCTATAATATAGTCAAAAAGAGAATTTTCTCTAAAATATTCTTCCAAATAACTCACCTACATTAAGAAAATGCTGAGCACCAATTGAGACACCAACAGCAATTCTCTCAAGCAGAAAAGAATTAAAAATTGAAGGAATAAGAATAATTGAAAAAGTCATTGATTTGGAACTGAGTGTTGTCAAAAGTAAAGAGCTAGTTTGTAGCACTAACATATGCAAGAAAATGATTTTCAATTGTTTTCAGTGACAATCAGCAGGAAGGAATCAAGCACCTCATAGCAATTACTGACTTTCTGCCAGAATCCGTTATAACATTGCCTTAGGGAAGGCAAGATAAGTAATATTCTAGTTAAGAAGCCACATCAAGGAAAATGGGGAAATGAGAAAGAGGGCGGCAGTTTTAACTCATGAAGCAACCTCATGATTAAAGGTTTCGTGCACTGGGAAAAGAGAATAATTGACTTAATATGTAATAATTGATAATTAAAAACAATAATTTTTCTTAGAAAAATACCATGAAAATAATTTTTAATTTTAAGATAATGATATATTACACTTAATATCATTTTTAAGATCTCGAGATAATTTAACAAACATTATACACAATGTTAAGAATCTGCATACAAATGGTAGAAAAATGAGTAAAATAAAAAATACTCTGATTTTAGTGAATTTACTATATGTCATTAGATGTAGAGGGTGAAAATTCAATCTGGGACAAATAAATCTGCAAGTTCTGTTATTATAATCTCATGATTATAGCAAACAATAATCATGAGAAAATATGTAAAGTAAATAGATATAAATTACAGTTAAGTTTGTCAGGAATATCATTGAATTAGAAAATACTGTAGCCTTTAAATCTGAGGTCCTATAATTAAAACATACAATAAAGTATTATTGATCTTCAAATATTTAGAAAATATACAGAATATATTTATTTTTAAAACCAAGTTTACTTAAAATAGTTCCTAATTATAAAGTACTCATAAATCATAATTTGGAAGTAAGTGATTATTATACCAAAGTGAAGAGCATCAATGATTAGAAATTTATCTATCTGTATACTGTACATATCTACATATATCTATCTATATGTGTGAATATATATATGTGAGCATACACACACACTGAAAAACGCTGAAAGTAATATTTTTTTCAAGAAACATTATTTTCAAGAAAGGTAATTTGATGTAGATGTTGGACATAGATTATAAAAAATAAAATTTAATAAGGCACGAATGCACACATATACACAGACACACACACGTATATGTACACACATAGATATACACACACAGTGTGTGAGAGGGAGAAAGAGGGCAGGTGGGTGTGCATAGTTTACCAGTAATGAGAATAACTTCATTGAGAAAGAAGTTAAGATGTGGGAAACAAAAACTTGAGTTTGAAAGATTTAAGCATCATATAATTATTTATGTTAAATAAACACAATTTTTTCTTCTTTTGGAAGGCATGAAAAAAGTAAAACTACTGTGTTTCCTTGAAAATTACAAATATGAGAATTAGGAATTTTGTAACTACATATGACTAAATGATGTCTTTTAATTTTGTAACTGTAGTGACTGTTTCTCTACATAGTACATTGGAAAATCTCAACTACCACTCCTGCTATATTAAACCCATCCTCCCTCCCTCACCCAGACAGTGAATATCCCTATAAAACCAGTAAATTCTGGAAAATTGCAATTGAGTAGTACACAGAAATGCTTAGGTATAATCCAATCATTTTACAAATTCAAAAAGTAACGTCCCTCCAAATGAAATTATTTAGTTAAAATTGCATAGTTGCTTTGTGATTGGAGCTTCTGTTTCTCAGGTCTTCAGACCAGCTTTTCTAATTTTTCAGCTTGCAGATGGCAGATCCTGGTACTTCTTGGCCTCCATGATCATGTAAACCAATTCTCATAATAAATATCTATCTCTCTTATATATTCCGTTTCTCTGGAGAACACTAACTAATACTAACTAAGTTAATTAAGATTGAATCGCTTATTAATTTTTTGTATTGAAAATAATATCCTAAAATGAATGAATTTCTCTGAGAAATTTACAATAATTCTTAGGTGATTTTTATATAAAGTATATACACATTTTTTCAATTTTTGTATTGTGGTAAAATATATCTAACATAACATTTATCATCTTAACTATTTTAAAGTATACAGTTAAGTGCTATTATATATATTTATGTATACTTTTTATATTATTTGGGATTCAAATATATCAATTTTTAGCTTTAATTTTAAAATTTTAAAGTAGGTTTATAAAAATATACATATATATTTTTGGCTTGGAATCATTTTCCATATAGTTGGAAGAATTATTCTCTCTTAAAAGTATATAAAAATATTTATTTCACTATTTAAATATTTTTTACACATAATTTTTAATCCCCCTGAAGTTTATTTATTTTTAAATTTTATGAATTAGAGAGTTTATTTGATTTCTTTTCAGATAAATGATCAATTGTCTCAATATCATATTCTCCCTGGTTTGTAATGCTTCAACTATTCATTTACATCTGCGTATGTTTATAAAAACCATTTTGTGTTCTATTGATTTGCTTTCCTATCTTGTTCAACAGATTCAATCATGGTAGCTACCTAGCTTTGGATTTTAATCTATTTATCTTGCTTAATATGCACTGGAATTTCTGAATCTGAGGATTTATTTGCATAATTTCTGAAAAAAGTAGCATCCATTATATATTCAATGTAACATTTTCACATTTTTATTATCTTTTTTTGGTTTTGTTTTTTGTTTTTGAGGCAGAGTCTTGCTCTATCACCAGGCTGGAGTGCAGTGGTGCAATCTAGGCTCACTGCAACCTCCACATCCCAGGTTCTAGCGATTCTCCTGCCTCAGCCTCCCGAGTAGCTGGGACTATAGGCACTTGCCACCATGCCCAGCTAATTTTTGTATTTTTAGTAGAGACAGGGTTTCACCATGTTGGCCAGGATAGTCTCGATCTCTTGACTTCGTGATCTGCCTACCTCGGCCTCCCAAAGTGTTGGAATTACAGGGGTAAGCCACCTCGCCTGGCACTTTTTTATTATTTTTATGTAATTCCAGTTATATTTATGTTAGAAATCTTGACTACTAACATTAACTCCACTCATGCCTATCAACATATTGTTTATTTCTATGTATTTTCTATGTATTCGATTTCTTAACATATATTTTCCATTTTACTACTTTCATGTTCAGCCTGATCTAATCTATTGTTTTATCAATTCATTCATTGGGTTTATAATTTCAGTTATTAGGTAATTTTATGTTCCATATCTGATAATCCCAGTGTTCACAATCCTTAGTGTTGCTATTGTTTGTTTTCCTAAAATGAGTTTGAAATGGTGGAACTAGTGATTTCTATATAACATAGTCTACTTAGATTTAAGTTTTATGTTGGGAATTTTCCATATCATATAGTGTTTGTTATATTAAATAGAAACCATATAAGTGGAGATCTATTTCAACAACTTCTAGGAATAACCAGTTTTATTAATTTTTTTCCACTTAATATGAGGACAAGAAAACATATTGTTTTGTTGTTTTATTTAGAGGTGGATGGGTTTTGGAATTAATGCAGAATTCTCAAGCTCACTTTAATTAATTTCAGAACACGCAAGTTTTAAAACAGTCTTCCACCGCATAAGGCTGTTCTTTCCCAAAGCAATCATTTCCTGGCATTAGGTCTCCTGTTCATTTTCTATTCTGATTTTAGTTTTACTGAATTATTTGTGTTCCTTTGTCTATTCATTTACTTTTGTATAAACTTTTAGTATATTAAGTGTATGTTTTAATTTATCTAAGTTGTATTTGTTTCATGCTGAGATATCTATCAAGGTGCCCTATGTTAAACTGAAATGACAGAGTATGGTAGTGTGATCTTAACATAACTAAAGTTAATTTTTCCATACGATATATCATGGTTCACTAATTCATAGGAAAAGTGTGCTCAATGTTCTTTCTCAGGAATGGAAGGCTGTTAATCATGCTACTTCTACAAACAACTTACAGTTAGAGTGACATGACTTTGCCATTTCAGCAGTAATTGTATATCTGGGCATTACCAGGGAAGCCACCAATAGTAAAATTTAAGTGGTGAATATAAACAAGGGCTACTTTGTCCCATTCACTTGGTATCTGTAGATGGTTATATGATCATGCAGCTTGATAAGAAACATGTTCATATAGCCATCTACAGATATAGGTAAGCATTAGAAGCCTCTACCACAAATAACATATTCAGTTCTCTTTCCTTTCTATGCAAAAAATGAACTCCTCTATCTAAATGAAAGAGTTTAAAACCCTATCAATTTATGAGATAGCTCAAAATCCACTACCTTTGGATTATGTGTTATCTCTATCAGAAGTTAATGCACAGTAGTCTCCCACATCAGGATATATTTGGCTTTTCTTGATCCAGAGACTTATGAACTAATAATACAGGTTACCTGCTCTCCAAAAAATGCAATATGCAGAGGTGGAACATGGTCTACAGAACTCCAGTAACTGTTTCTATCTGGGAAGAGAAAATAGTGAGAGATAGATATTGAGCACTGGACTGTAAAAATTAAATAAATAAATAAATACATACATACATAAATTCCTCTTAAATCCCTCTGAGCAATCATTGTGATTGTTTCTCCCTGAGGACTGGGGTATATTCCTTAATTAGACTTTGATTCTGCTCTCTCAGGCTGACTCCCAAAGACGTTGTTTTCTAAGCTGTTATTCTAGCATTCACACCCTTTAATATGACTACATTATTTTATCTAGCAGGGAATTTGATATTAAAATTTATTTCCTATAAATACTCGCATTGACACACTCAAATATTGTTGGTAAATATCTTCTCCTTTGATACTCTCCCTTTTATATATTAAAATTACTTTAATAAAATTTAACATGTAAGAAAGCTTACAAGAAAACATCATCATCCACATATGCTATACATATGCAATCAGTAAAATAAAAACAATAGAAAGCTATCTCCTTCTATTTTCATAAAGTGCAATTATCAATTAGGATTCTTCAGCAAAACAGAACCAATATAAGATGTATGTGTGTGTACATATATATACACACACACACACACACACACAAATAAAAGGACATTATTATGTCTTATTAAAACTTTACCCATATGTCTGGACAATATCCCATCTATTGAATCTTTTATATTTGCAGGCTGCATGTTCATATAGCCATCTACAGATAGCAAGTGGATGGGACAAGGCACACCTTGTATTCCTTTCTCCTCTTAAATTTCCGCTATCACTGGCTTCCCTGTTAATTCATTGAGAAAAAAGTTGGAAGTGAGGGGTAAATTCATAACAACTACAGTATAATGCCCACCAGTCCTCTGTTCCTTGTGACTAGATAACCTATCACATGCTCTGAATCACTGAGATCCTATATAAAAGATTTATTATAAGGAATTAGTGCATGCTACTGTGATGGCTAAAATTTGTAGCATAGGCTAGAAGGAAGGGGACTAGAAAGAAGCAGAGATTGACGTTGCAGTCTGGAGGCAAAATTTCTCCTATTTTGTCTTTAGAAAGAGGAGGAAGATCTATCTTGTGTACATTCCAAAAATTATAAAACTTCATATGAATAACAAATAAAACTGCATATTTGGATATATACAAATTTTTGTGTAAGTTACTTAATGATTACAAAATACTAACTCAACTTTAATTTTGAAAAGCTAAGTTTGATAAATTATGCCAACATTTCATCAAAACATTTCTCTTCTTCATTCATAGTCATTGACTGACAGCCAGACATATTTCCTACCCACCTTGCATTCAAGTGTGGAACTGTAACCAAGATTTCTCCTGTGGAATGTCAGAAGAAGTGCTATGTGATGTTTTCCAGAGAGTATATTTGACTTTTCAACCCTCTTTTTTATCTTCTTCAGAATAAATTCATACTATAGTAAGAATCAAGAGTAAATAAGACAAAAAATGAGGAAATCTGATTTGTGTTCAGAAGAAGTGCATGCTACCCAGGGTCATCTTTCCTGGACTGTTAAATTAATTATAAATAAAAGGTAGCTGTGTCTGGGTGATATGTGAATTATTTTCTTAAGAGAAATTTAGTCTAACACAACTAATTTCCTTAGAAAGTACCTGTATTATTGTTTTGCAGCTGTAGTAACAAATTAACACAACATGGGTGTGGCTTAAAACCATGGAAATTTATTCTCTCACAATTCTGGAGGCAGAAAGGCCAAAATCAGATTACCATGGTCCGAATGCATCCTTCCCAAAAATCCTATGTTAAAATATAATTGCCAATACAATAATAGTATTAAGAGGTAGGGCCTTTAGGAGGTAATTAAGTGATGAGTGAATAGGATTAGTGACGCTATAAAAGAAGTTCAAGCAAGCTGTTCACCTCTTCCAATATGTGGGGACACAGCACTAGGGCACCATCTACAGAGCAGATGGCAAGCCTTCACTGAACAATATATCTGATGCTTTGATCTTGAATTTCACAGCCTCCAGAACTGTGAGAAATGTGTTTCTCTTACTTAAAAATTAACCAGTTCTGCCTCTGTCCTTAACATGGCCTTCTTCTCTTCTCTTCATATCCCACCTCTGTGTTTTTCTTATAAGGACCATTGGATTTAAGACTTACTCAGATCATCTAGAATGATCTCATCTCAAAATCTCTAATATAATTACATCTGCAAAGACCTATTTTTTCAAATAAAGTCACATTTAGGGGTTCTGGAAGTTAGGACGTGAACATATCTTTTGAACTCCACCATTTAACTCACTATAGTACCTTTAAGAAATTTTATGGAATATATCTTTTTTTCATTCTGTAATTGCATTATTTATAATGCATCATATTGGTCATATAAGCATTTAGTAAATGCTTGCCTTTCTTAAGTAGAGCCTTTCATGTTTTTGAATACCAGTTATAAATGTAATCTGACAGTCCCTAGTTTCACTGACATTAAGATATGAAATTTATCTGTAACTTGAAAAGAAAAGTCAGTCAAACTATAAAGGCACAAATTCTTTTATTTACTTTTCATTTCTGGGAGCAAGGGATTTGGGTAAAAAGATATTCAAATATCAAACAACTGTTCCACTGCAGAGAAAATCACTCTAGCATGATGTTAAAATAGGACACTTTCTGCCTCAGTTTCAGCTGAAACATATACAAAATAAAAGCAACAACTATTCAGACAATGAATTTTTTTTTTTTAAAAAGGAAAATGGACTTCCAAAATGGAACTTATTTGGAAAGATGTCTGTTTTGCTTTCCCCAAAACAACACCAACAACAAAAACAGAAACAGAAAAGGGCAAAGAAAGGATGCTACTTCAAACTCCGGCTATAATGAGAAGGGCTTCAGCAGAACAATTTGAAGCATAGGTGTTCTGGTAATTGAAGGACATGGAGGACTATTTCCTGGCCCATTCTTGGGAAAGATAAAATAACCTGTAGAGTAAAGAGCTGCATCTGCAAAATAATTGTTGTTCTTTCTGGTAATAGGTAATAAGTGCCTGAATTTCATCAACCACATGACTTCTGTGGTAGTGTCAATCTGGCCTCATTCTAGAAGGGAGTCTGCTCAAGAGGAAACTATGTCATAGCAAAGAACTTCAGCAGTAAGAGAGTTCCTGAGAAATAAGCTGCAGCAGGAGAAGAGTCATTGTCCACATAACGGGAAAGGTCCAGATGGGACAGTCTCTGAAGAACCCACGAAAGCACCCACATGCTTAAGATCTTTCTTAATCATCTTCCGTGCCTAAAGAATGCAGAGCCTCTTACAATATCTCAAATAGAAATAATTGCCTGTATGGCAATCTTATTTATCCTCCTCCTACTACCCTGAGAAAGAAGGGAGCTATGTATTGGGAAGAAAGAGAAAGGATGATGGTCCTTCACCAGATGGTGATAGAAAACCTGTAGCAATCCCTAATTGGAAAACAGGGAAATTTACAGAAAATGAATACGATATTCTACTGCAATGTATATTCATAAAATGAATTCATTCAGGCACTATTTATAATCAAGTGAATCAAGTCACCAAATTAACTTTTACATAATTTTCTGTGAGCTACCAATGAAAACAGAGTAGAGAAATGTGCCACTCAACTGAACACTCATACCTCATCTTATTGCCCTTTCCCAGTTTGCTCATGTGCTTTGGCACAAAGGCCGCCCCTTCTCTTGAGTTTCTGTGTTTTTTTCTGATAAAGCAATGCAGCAAAGCATCTCAAACATGAATAATCCTCCTAGTTAGAGGAATCAAAAAATAAAAACAGCAACAATAACAAAAAGTAAGAAAGCAGTAAAAATTTTAGGGACACATAAATGATTTATTTTTAATAAGAGAATGTGAGATTCTGACTATAAGTTTTAAAATTAGAAACAATATATTATTGTATCTTTCAAATTCTCTTCTAAATTTTATGCAAATATTTTTTATTTTTAATACATTTTCATAAAATTTAAGTTCTTATGATAAGAGTATAGAAATGGTCAGCCTTCTACAACTTACCTGAATGTATGAAACATAGTATTATAACTTAAAAAATTATACTATATTATTTTTTGGATAATTATTCCATAGAAACTGTTTGGCTACAAAAGGGTAAGTATATGGTTTATACATTTTCTTATGAGAATAGTCAACTAAACCACAACCTCAAATTATCTATTGAGGTTATCCATAATGCGAGTGGGAGTGATTAAAATAGATAATATAGTTTTCCACTGCTAAAAATTTGTCTGTGCATGCAAGAAGCAGGTGATAATAGTAAGTATTTTGTTTGCTATTGTCTGAAGTTGTATCTTATACAAAAAATAGTCACATATGTGACTATTTTCTAAAAAATATTAAACTTAATATAAACAACTTTAAAATGCCATATGGTAACAAACACCACATATACCTAAAATGTTAACATTGTAAATGCTTATTTGTCTATTTAAAATAATAAAGCACATAATAAAATAAATATTGCATAATAAAACTGACTAAAATACTTATTAAAATAAAGCTATGACTCACCCTAGACACCACACAGATGCATTATCAATTACAAAATATTGAATAATTTGCAAACAAAAGTTTTCAATGCTTGTGCAAGATTTTTTCCACTGAACCTGTTCTTTTTGTGTTTGTTTTTAATAAAACTTTATTTTAATAGTTCTAAATTAACAAAAGTGTTTAGAAGATAGGATTTTCTGAGGAGGTGGAGCAAAACGGCCAAATAGAAGCTTCCAATTGTCCCCCAATGGAATTATCAAGGAGAACAACTCTCCGCCTAGAAAAGCACCTTCATAAGAACAAAATAATCACATGAGAGAATCAAGTACCTGGTTGTTGCACAATAACAAGAAAAGGCTAATTGAAGGGGACAGAAAGGACAGTTTTTCTTTGCCTACACCACCTGTCCACCAAACCCAAGGCATCTCAGTGCAGAGAGAGAACCTGTGGGCTTGGGAGAAGCAGAGTGACGTGAGTGTGGGGCTTTGCATTGGAACTCAGTGTCACCCCATCACAGTGGAACTCAGCACTGAATAGAATTCTGCCAGTTCTCATAGAGGAAGCATTTAGACAAGCCCTGGGCCAGAGAGAAATCTGCTGCCCCAGCAGGAAGAACCTGAGTCCTGGCTCACCACTGGCTGACTAAAGTGGCCTTGGACCCTGAACAAATTTCAGTGGCAGACAAGCTGTGGTGACTGTGGTCCTTGATTGAGCTCCAGTGCTGCTCTGGTCTCAGAGGCTGTGAGCTTGGGTGTGAAACACTGAGTGAAACACCAGCTGTGGTGGCCATGAGCGTGTCTGTGTCATCCCTTCCTCAATTCCAGGAAATGCAGCATGGAGTGAGACTCATTTCAATTGGGAGAAGGAAAAGGAAGAGTATAGAGGATTTTGTCTTGCAACCTGGTATCACCCTAGCCACAGTTTATAAAACAGAGCACCAGGCAGAATTTCAAAGTCCCCTATTTCATGACATTCTTGGAAATGATGCTTCCTGGGAATGATGTTTTCTGGCCCCACCCCAGGACAGAAAGGAATCTGCTGACCTGGTGAGTTGGACATGAGTCCCAGGTGGCTTCACCACCTGAAGACTAAAGTTACTGTGGACCTTGACTAAACATCAGTGGCAGTCACACAGTAGTGGGCAAGCTGCAGGATTTGGGCAAGCCCTGATGCTTCCCTGGTGTCTTAGGCTGTGAGCTTTTGCTGTGACTTAGCATGTTGCCAGCTGCAGCAGGAATGGGAGTGGCCATGTTACCCCTCCCTTTAACTCTAGACGTCCAAGAATGGTAAAAGACTCATTCCACTTGGGAGAAAGAGAAGGAAAAGAGCAAGAAACTTTTCATGGGGACGCAGGGAAATCTCCCTCATCTTCTCAAAGTGCATCAGGACTGGTTATCCAGGAGTCTGCAAGAATCACAGCATATCTGAACTTAGGGCACCCTTTAGTGCTGAAATTGCTGCAGTGAACACAGGATTAGGAAACTCAACAGTCAACCCTCTTTGAATTCTTGGAAGGTGCTCTGAAGTAGGATAGGTTCAAAAAAGGCCAGACTTTGGAGATTGGAATAAATATCCAACTTCTCAATGAACAGACATTGAGAAATGTCCAAAAGCATAAAGAACAATTAGGAAAACATGACCTCAACAATAGACTAAGTAAGGTGCCAGGGACCAACTCTAACATGATGAAATTATGTGAACTCTCAGATAGAAAATTCAAAATAGCTGTTTTGAGGAAGCTATTTAAAGTTCAAGAAAACACAGTGAATCAATTAAAAAATTATCAGAGAAATTTTACAAAGAGATTGAAATATTTTTTTAAATCAAAAATAAATCCTAGAGCTGAAAAACACAATTAATGAACTGAAAATGCACCAGAGTGTCTGAACAGCAGAACTGATCAAACAGGAGAAAGAATTAGTGAGTTTGAAGACTGCCATTTAAAAATAAAATCAAAAGAGAAGAAAATAAATGAAGAATGCAAAAGAATGAATTATACTTACAAGTGTACTTCAAGACACAAGATCAAGAAAACAGCCTCAGAAGGGCAAATCTAAGAGTCATTGGCCTTAAAGAAAGAGTACAGAAAGAGATAGGAATAAAAAGCCTATTCACAGAAATAACAACAGAGAACTTTACATATTTAAAGAAACATGAATGTATAGGTACAAGAAGGACAGAGAACACCAAGACAATTCAATACAAATAAGAACACCCCAAGTCATATAATAATCAAAATCTCAAAAGTGAAGGAAAAGTGAGGATACTAAAAACAGCTGCAAAAAGAGGCAATTAACTTATAAAGAAGGTCCAGTTCATATGGCAACAAATTTCTCAACAAAAACCATATAGCCCAGAAGGGAATGGGAATTTTGTACCCAGCAAAGCAATCATTTAAGCATGAAGGAGAGATAAAGACTTTCCTTGTCAAACAAAAAGGAAAGAATTCATCATTATCAGACCTATCTTTCAGGAAATGCTAAATAGAATCTTCAGCCTAACAGAAAATGATACTACTGTGCAACAATAATTATCTGAAGGTATAAAAACCCATTGGTAGGCACGCAGACAAATCACAGAACACTTTTCAATACAGTAATTGTGGTGTGTAAACCATTCATATCTTTAGAAAAAAGACTAAAAGAAAAGCCTATCAAAATAATAACTACAACAATTTGTTTAAAATAGGAAATATATATATATATACACACACATTGAAATAACAAAAGTCAAAAAGTGGGGGGAGGAATAGAGTTAAAGTGTAGAGGGCTTTTTTTTTTTTTTAAGTTTTTCCTTTGCTTATTTCTGTTTCCTTGTATTCAAAGTTAAGTTCTCATCAGTTTAAAAGTACTTGTTTTTACTATAAGGATTTGTGTAAGTCTCATGGTAACCACAAATAAAAAAACCTATAATAAATACATTAACAATTTAAAAGCAAGAAATTTAAACATACCACCAGAGGAAACCACTTAACCACAAAGAAAGACAGTAAGAAAGGAAAAGAAGACCTATAAAACAACCAGAAAACAAGTAAGAAAATTACAGTAGTAAATTCTAACTGTATGTTCCATTAAGTATGCATTCTGCAGAGTTAAATGAATTTATATTCATATATTAATAGCTTTACTTCATTAGTAAATCTATATTCATACTTACTACAAGATTTCACAAAATTGCAGTTTTAATACAAAGAACAAGAGCAATTGTTAACAAGAACATTAAGCTGTCTAGTGAGCTGGAATTCTGAAGTTAAATTAATAGAGTAGTCTGTTTACATAACAATAAGAGTATGAAAATCAGGTCTAAATAATGGTGGAAGAATTGCAAATGGATCAACAAACTCAGTAAATGAATGTTTGTATGTTGTGTAATGCAAAACTGCTACTTATTGATGCATTTAAATACTATGCAACATATTCATGAATATGCTTTATGAATATCTTGTAACATTAGAGCTATAAGCAATTCATGTTAAGTTTGTGCAGAATACAAATATTATTTATGCATTTTTAAAAGTTAAATAGCTAATCAAAATTAAAATATTTCACTTCATTTCCTTTTGTCAGCAAGGAGATTATTTGGTTAGCCTATTTGCCTAAAAGAATAAAAATTTTCTGCTAAACTGTGTTTGCTTTTGCTAAGGCAATTGTAACTGTAAGATATTTCAGTCAATCTAAGTGGAATATTTGGCTGCTATTTACAGTTTTCCGTTAAGATCCAAAAGTTGATAAGTTATGTAATTAGGACTAGTGGCTTGGAGTCATACATTCTTAATCCTCTCTACTTCTCCTTTAGAGGACAGGAAGTCTAGCATTTATTACTTCTTTCTCAGAAATTAGGAAATTAGCCATCTTTGAAGTAATCTGGATCCCAGAATTAACTGTTAATTAACTCATCCTTATATAAAACATAAATTTACAAGGCCAATAGTTTTCTTAATAACAAAGTAAAGAAAAATATGCAATCCACAGAGATCTGAGATACACTTTAGATGCAATCACATTTGACAAAAGTTTTATTAGTGTTACCTTAGATTCTTAGCATAACTAACTTACAAAGGAAACCACAATCTAGCCTACTGTTTTTTCTTTTTCATTGTTGTTCTTTTTCCTTTCTTTTCTGTTTTTCTTTCTTTGACCAGTGATTGTCAATTTTTACTACACATTAAAATCATCTGGGGTTTAAAAAAAATCAATTCATACTGATAGAGACAGGAGACAGCCAAATGCTACCCAGGTCATTGTGCACAAGGGGCTTGCCTAAACATGCCCATTGTGAAAAATTTTGTCCCTTAATACATGCATCATAAGGGAAATAAGTCACTGTGGAGTGGCTCAGATTAAGGGCCTGCATGAGCGCTGGGAGAATGGTGTGGGGCCTCCAGGAATTTATGCCTTATGCAGGGGAGGAGCCAGGACTCTTCAGCTGTGTGTAGTGGCCTGGTATTCAATCTATGAGATGGGAGCCTGTTGGTAGCACCCCGTTTTTCTGCACTGAGAGCTTTCTCCTAATAAATCCATCCTCCTCACCCTTCAATGTCTTTGCGTGCCTAAGTTTTCCTGGTCATGAGACAAGAACCTGTATTTTAGCTGAACTAAGGAGCAAAAAAAAAAAAAAAAAAAAATCCTGCATCAATTTTAATTCAGAATATCTGAGTGTGGGGCTCAGATACCAGTATTTTTCTAAGGAAAAAAATGCCATTTAGTATATATTTTTTCATTCTTATTTCTGTCACTTGAAAGCTGATACCTATATATTTCTCCTGGAAATTATAGAAAGAATAGTATACCAATTTTCTCTTCTGATATTAGAAATTTTAACAAAATGCAATATACTAAAAATCTAACAAAGGTGTGCTAGTTGTATAAATTTGGGTAAATTGCTTGAACTCTCTTGTCCTGGGCATACCTGGAAATGAGGAAGTAAAGAGTGTTTAGAACACATTATGTTCTAGATCAACAAGTAACATTAATTGTATATCAGAATTACTAGGCTTCCTTTATTTTGAGAAAATGTCTGGACATCCACAAACATATGAAACCATAATTTATATTCAGGCTTTCTTTCAAGTAAAATGATATTCCAAAAACAAAAAGCTGCAAGTTCATTTCGTAACTCAAACAATTGTTCAAGTGATCTCACTCAAGATAGCCTCATACTTATGCATGCAACTGAAGGACTTTATGTGTATTTCTCATTTTGTGATACAGAATATTAAAAAAGACATTAAGAGTAGAGATTTAATAAATTTTTTAAAAGTACTGCTTTATCTAGAACATTCATAAATGAAACTGAACTTTTGTTCCCATGAGGTTGCATTGTGCAAATGACAACATAATGAAGTAGAAATATAAAGTTTTCCTATTATTATGTAACTCATTTTTATCTTATGGATTCCTGAATTTATCTCAGAAACCCTCCAGGGATCTGACGGTTCACTTTGAGAACCACTGGTATAAAGACAGACGAGTAACCTTTTTAAGAAAAGTAAATTATGGCACCATCTTCTAATGTATCTTGCTGTCTCTGGTTTTAGCTTCCCCCTGCCCCAATCTTCACTAAGCTACTGGATGGATCTCTGGTTCTCACTTACAAATCTTCAATAACTTTCCATTGTTCTCAAGATAAATTCCAAAGCCCTTCACCGGGCCTACATATCCTTCACTTCCTAGATTATGTGTCTGTCTCCCCAACTGCCTCTCTAAGTCTAATGATATTATACTCATTTTCTCAAAGCACAATGCTTCTTTGTTCTTACAGGACTTTCTACTGTTGTTGTTGTTGTTTTTTTTAAATTTTTTTTCCGTTTGGAAATGTTTAGTTCTCCATTTCTGTTACTTGAATTATTTATGCTGATCCAGAAATTTTCATCAATTCCAGGGTCTGGTTGATTTTCTATAAGTATATCATAGCCTTTCATACATTTTCCATGAAATTATCAATCTCACTGTGCTGTAATTTTGTTCACTGTAATGTCCCTTCTGTGTTCATTGCACAAGACTATAAACTCCTTGGATAAAGTATAAAATTTGTCTTACTCAAGTTTCATCTGTATTTCCAAAGAGAGACATTTGAAAGATAAATTTTATCTGGCTAATATTAATATTTTCTTGTAGCCTAACATAGCTGCATTTTAATGCTTACAAATAGTATTCCCCAACAAAGTAAAATGAAAATGAAAAAGAAAGTCAAAAATTATATGATTACACATGTACACATATTGATATATTCGCTACATTTTTTGTACTATATTGTGACTAGTGAGCAAGCTGAAGGACATATTTTACAGAGATTTTACAAAGTTTTAGAATTTTATCAGGATAAAATAAATAGAACACTCAGAACTCAATACCACGAGCCATCATCATGGGTCACAAAAATAATGATATATGACATCAGGAGAGATGCCAAGGGATTGTATTTATTTCACATCCAATTCCCAGTTTTTGGTCTAATATAAATTTCAAATTTAAATCTAAGGTCTCAGAGAATAATAGTTCATTTTAAAAAACCTTATTTACTAATAAATATTTAACAATTGTTTTGTATTTTTTGAGTACCTGTAATGAAATATATTAATGTAGTAATCAATAAGGTTAGCTCTAGCTTACAGTGATATTATTTATGATTGTACTATCTCCCTGGTAACTGTTAAATGTGATTTTTGTAGGAATATTTTTTAGATTTTGTGCTATTTTACTTCTATTCTTTTTATCTCAAATTAGAAAAAAAATGGAGACCAAATTCTTATTTGTGAGAATGAGTTAACTCTATTTTTGGTTGTCTCATTTTGAGCATTTAACTGTCATAGGGCAGAGCACAGACCATTTCATCCATTTTAAAATAATACACTGTCTCTTTAGGGACAGTCCTGTCATTTGTTTTCATTTTACTGAGGCGTCTCTCTTTAGATTGAAATATTTATTAAAGGGAAAAGTCCAACTTCCTGAGACATGTAACCAAAAGATGAGATTTCTTAATTCACACTGTATCTGAAACACATTATTCTAGCTATTTTAGCATGGTAGGTTATAAGCTGCATTTTAAAATACAGTGTGTTGATCAAACTATTGAGCCTTGAGAGAAACAGGTTCTTGTTTAAATTAAAACTTTATTATTCACTGTTCATCTTCCCATGCATTATGCATTCTAGTCATTGTTCATGCTCACCGTGCTTCTTTAAAAAATAATCCATAAAAAGCATACCAGCCTAGTATATAAAATTGGTTTCTGCCCCTTTGGTTTAAAGATATGGGAAGGTGATTTGCAATGAATTTCTTTACGAAACATTTAATTTTTATAAAGAAACTCTCTTGCTTTTTACCTTACTATTGTAAACATAAGATTTAGGTTAAATTACTTCAAAATGTCTTCAAATGCAATATAGAATAGGTTGCCAAACACATGTCAGAATTAGACTGGGTAAATATTTCCTTCTGTTAACATGAATATCTTTTGTCATCATTGTTTTGCAGAATGGGAAGTTGTAAAAAGGATCTTTGTAAACCCTGGAGAATTATAAATATATTATGCGTTGTATAGATAAAGACAAAAACATTAATTTTCAATAATAATTTTACTAATCACACAGAAGTTATATAAGGGCAATCAGACCGCCTTCCTGATGTATATAAAATAATTCTAAGAGAGAAAAAAAAGACTTTTTTACTATGCTAAAAAAAGGCCATGAAAAATAGATATAAATGTAAAAGAAATCATGAATTAAAGGCAGAGGGACACTTTTTTGATTTTCAAATGTCTTCAGTGAAGGAGGAAAATACCATCATACAAAAGATAGCTGTGTTAAGTGTTTTTTCTTTAATTTCAATAATGAATATGTGTAATTTAGAAGAATGAGCTGGGTGCGGTGGCTCACGCCTTTAATCCCAGCACTTTGGGAGGCCAAGGCAGGAGGATCACTTGAGGTCAGGAGTTTGAGACCAGCCTGTGCAATATGGTGAAACCCCATCTCTCTATTAAAAATACAAAAAAAAGAAAAAATTAGCTGGGCAGTGGCAGGCACCTGTAATCCCAGCTACTCAGGAGGCTAAGGCAGGAGAATACCTTGAACCTGGGAGGTGGAGGTCACAGTGAGCTGAGATCGTGCCACTGCACTCCAGCCTGGGTGACAAGAATGAAACTCCATTTAAAAAAAAAAAAGAATGAAAATGAATATAAATATATATGAATATATTCATATATATGTATATCAGTTGTTATTCAGAAATGATACCAAATTTGTCAGAGAAACAGTAACAAAAGCTACATATTTACCATCTGGAGCTGCAGTAGATAATATCTTTTTTTAGCAAATAATTTTTTCTTAGTTTTTAAATCATTTAAGTAATTTGGCTGGACTGTCTCTTAATAACATATTATCCAGTGTTGCTTTTTCCTTCCTACAAAATGTAAAGTAGAAGTTACTGTCATGATCATTCATGGAAGAAATGTATTTGAAATATCAGCTTCATTACAATTTAGAGTTAAATTATTAATCAAGTATTCCATAACAAAACTTTTGTTAGTAGATAATTGATATGGTTTGTCTTTGTGTCCCCACTCAAATCTCATCCTGAATTGTAAGCCCATTGTCAGGGGAGGAACCTGGTGGGAGGTAATTGAATCATGGGGGCAATTTACCCCCACGGTGTTCTCATGATAGTGAGTTCTCATGGGATCTGACAGTTTTATAAGGGGATTTCCCCTTCGCTCATTTCTCATTTCTTCTCCTTCCTGTTATAATGTGAAGAAGGACGTATTTGCTTCCCTTCCTCCATGATTGTAAGTTTCCTGAGACTTCCCCAGCCATGCAGAACTGTGTCAATTAAACCTCTTTTTAAATAAATTACCCAGTCTCAGGCAGTTCTTTATAGCATCGTGAGAATGGACTAATACAATAATATAACATACTTGCCTTCACCAGAAACCACGAATGAAGATACCAATTAATTATTTCTCTAAGTTTATGTATTGAAAAGAGGTTTGTTTGAATATTTAGGAAGTCATATGATCAGAGGATACTATGAGTGACTGATCAGACTCATATTCCATATTTGATCAATGGGAGAGCAGTCACGCAGAAGCAATTTAAATCTCTTGGTTCTCTAGTGAGAATAGTAAATTCACAGTTTTAATTTTAGAAGAAAAATCTAAAAAAAATTCAGAGAAGAAAAGTTATTTCGACAAGGATATAATTTGTAGCTTTGATTAAAACCATATCAAACATTTTATCTGAAGATTAGATAATTTTAGTTAAACAAGTGTTTTGTTGTATACAGTAGTAGAAACAGATTTCCAACTTTGATCCAGTAATGTCAGCAGCAACCAACTTTAAGATTTGATTAAAAAATATTATCTAGTTGTAGCTATAATTTTCATCTTTATGTTTACCTTTATGTACATGATTAGACTTAGTGTCTACTGAAGCACTTTCCACTGGAAAAAAAAATCCTCTTTTAGTTGTATTTTCTGAAAGTTACCATGATATAGATTGCTATATCTATTTAAAAATGTCTTTTAGATTATTTAAGGTAAAGAGAGATTCTTTATACACATAATGTTTTTTCTTCCTTAGTCTGTCATTTTCAGTTTCTCTCTGATGATGTATGTTTATATGTAAATTTTAAAACTTCACATAGTTCAGTATTTCAAGTTTTTTAAATTATTTTTTCTAAGAATATTGCAGAAATAATAAAGGCAATTCCCCTTCTTAGAATTGTCTGTACGAGTGATGAAAATAACACTGAGTATTCAAACAGCGAAATCATTATTGGAGCCATGACATATGTAGTATTTTTCTTAAATGTTTTAAAGCCAACTATTTAAAACCACTTTAAAAATTAAGTAAATACTTATATTTGTCTTAATAATCTTCTAGTGTTCACAAATTTTCTGTATAACATGTTTACGGTGAATTTCTACAACAAATATATTAGCCATATCAAGCTTTTACAGTAACACACTAATATCTTTCTAATATTACTAAGTTTGCTCAACAGTGAATTTCCAAGACATGGATAATTTAAGAGCTTCTGTGATCCCGATTTGCTTCTGGACTTTTTTTTTCTTCCAGGGGAGGTGTGGGCAGGGAAGGAGTGTGAGGCATAAGGGAAGTTCTTACTAGAAATATCTCGCCTGTCACTATATGCACTAGAGATCAATTTGGTGTATAATATGAAATATAAATTTATGTTTGACTTTCTTCTCATTTTACTTATTAAATAAGACATTCTATACTCAGAGACTTGATTAGGTTTGTAAGTATATTTGGCTTTATTTCTGGATGGTAAATCTGTTCCACTTATACATGTTTGTATTTATTTGGCAACCTTCTACTGTTTGATTGCAAATACAGAATAATAAGATTTGAATAAAACTAATGTGAAATTCTTCATTCTCAAATAATCCTTTCATTGATGAAACTTTATTTTTCCTTTTGTGGATAGGGGCTTCTTTAAAAAAATGTTACATTGCTGAATGCAAACTTCTTTGTTGACATACAACATGTATAACTTTTAAACTAACCTACATTGTTATGTAATTGCTATTATAAGTATTGGTAAAATAATAAAAAACAATAGATTTACCAGAAACATAGATCATTCATAAAATTAACTTTGAACAACTAAATCAATCTGATACCTTCACTGGTAATAGTTCCAATCAATTAATATTGATTTCCACCCAATAAGTATGACTCAAGACTAAGATCAATATGATTAAGAGATAACTATAATCATCAGTCACACTGATAATAGCAAAATGTATTCACCAGCTTTCTCATGAAGTGGTTTATTTGAAAAACAAGTGTAGATAACTGTGAAGTTTAAGGAGTGAAGACAAAATTATTAATAATAATAATGTGACAAGTCTACAAGAACATTTCTTTTAAAAAACTGCATCCTTTACAAAGAGATATCAGAAATAAAATCTCTTAAGTAACTTGGTTAATAAAACATTTGTATTTTCATATATGTATGACATGTTTTTGAGGCACAAAGACTAAAGTAGGAAGAGAGACTCAATGAATCTTAGTAACATTGTAAAATACTAACAAATATGATACAAAATAACACAGTTTTTCTAAATGAAACTAGCACATGGGGATAATTTCAGAAATTTGGAAGTAGTTTGCACCCATGACTTAAATAAAAATACCTGTATGAATATTATTTGTTGTCCACAATGTAATATAAGACATGATCACAAATGTATAGCTGATGGCATTGAACAAGTAAATACAATGTATATTGTGAATTCAAGAACAAAAGCATCAAATGTAATAGTAAATAATTTATCTTTCAATTTTGTGCAATTCTCCCAATGTGTAATTATGCATTCATTATTAAAACCCTTTGACTGATACATGACTACACCATTAGTGTGTAAATACCAGGAGACCAAGAACATAGTATCAAATTTTTACCATAACTTGCTCAGACAGAATTTGCTCACTTACTGTAAGACATTCCTTGAGAAAATTGTAATTTCTTTCACTTTCAACATATTATCTGCAGACTTTAAACGCTAATAGTATTCATTTTGTTATATTCTATAGAACAGCAATGAACTAATACATGTAAAACATTTAGCAGATTTCCTAGAACTTCGTAAGTAGTCAATACATGCTATCTCTTTGATTACCTACCATCTTCTCTACCATAAAACCGAACAATTTAAAATCTAAATAAAACTCTGTTTCTGCTCTGGATTACATCATAGCCTATATTGTTGTTCATTAATAAAGACCTACAGATAATAATTATAATAGATACTTTCCCAACACAAGTTTGCTCTCTACTATTAAATAAGATAAAGAATGAGCAACACCTTCTTCAGAGCAGGGAACTTGTAATTGAATATTTTAATCTTTATCAGATGCAATCAATGAATTAAGTCTAAAATGATGAGTCTGAGTTTTATAGAAGAAATGTAGTTAAGAGAGATATCCTTGTTTTCTTTTTCTATCTCTAGAAACCAGCCGGATGACAACAATATTAAATAAAATTGCATATTTATAAGTGCTGTATTGAAAAGAAAGAGACTTGTGACCACATGGTGGAATTAGGTACTGATGGGGAATTAGAAAATTATAAGCTCTGTTAATTAACTTACCTGAATCAGCAATCTGTTTTATATACACTTCATTCTTTATGTGAAAAATAATGACTAATGCTTATACTTATTGAACATGTTATGCTAATGGGTTATTCTGTGACATGTTTCAAAGTTCTCCATCTACATGTTGAGATGTGCTCTTACCAAACACTAATTATACTCATTCCTGAAAGTGCAAAAGTGCTTTGTGTTAGTTTTAATCATTTTATCGTAGATTAATTTAATTTAGGGTCAGATAAAATATGACTATTGAGAGGAAGGAGGATATGCTTTTTTGAAAAGTAGACTCACTTGGAAAGACTACATGAAACCAAGTAGAGAGAAAAAAATGCTGAATGGTATAAATATTAAAAAACACAAAATGGTAAAAAAAAATAGAAAATTGTTTAAAAAATCTAGAAGTCATCTACATGCAGATTGACTCGCAAATATTTATAAGTTGTTATTCACATCTAAGGAATGTAAAATTATAAAAGTAGATGGGTGTGTTAAGATGTTTTTTTCCTAAATTAGACATTTAAATTGGTACATTATACTTAAGAAATAGGTATTAGACTTGCATCAGAAAACTGGCAAATGTAATTATATATATATATATATATATACACACATATACACAGTTCAGGTATCCTAAGTATTATAATCAAAATAGGATATATGTCTAAGGAAGACAGAATGATCAAAATCATTTTGGACTTTACAGGTAATTTAAGGGCACTGGTGAATTAATATTTGGGGAGTAAAATTATCTGATTTTGTTTTACAAAGATACTTACTTAGTGACTGAATGGAGTGGGAGAAAGGAAAATGGAAAGCAATTACAATATTCCAACCAATGAATGACAATGATTTGGATGAAAATTATGAAAAAAGTTTAAATAAACTAAATTTAACAGCCAATAAATTACATCTTTGTCCTAAAGTAGTGTGAATTGAATTGGGTTTTCATCTGTTGAAATCAAAAAGAACTACTTAAACAGATCATATCTGATTCTGCAGTTAAGTTAGATAATGCATGAAAAATTCCCTTGAATTTGGCATTAAATGTGACAGAATTGAAGCCAGTTGTGGTTATACTTATTTTAACAAATTACTAAAAATCTCCTTTGATATGCTTGTAAATGTGTGCAATATGTGAGCTATATTAGATTAAAATTATTTTTATAGAACTGCTCCAAAACTATGAAGGTTAAAGTTAATTGAGGTGTCTGCTGCTTTATTTTTTTGTATAAATTAATTAAATTTAAATATAAAATGTTGTTTTTAAAACTGTTGGTACAGAAAAATTGAAAGAATATTTAATGGGTTCAATAAAATAACAGAAATTTAAAACCACTTTAAAATATTGGAATTACAGACTAAATCTAGCTAGTTTAATTTATAGAATATATGTTTTTAATTATGAAAAATAATCTTCACTATATCAATTTGTATGATACAAGGTGGCATAAACTTGGGTTAATAGAAATTTACCTTAATAATATCTAATGTTTTAGAAGTTCCTAAACTGTTCAGATGGCCTGAGGTGAAATGGTGGATAAGAGACAAGCCTGATGTGCAGTTTCCACTTGGATAGATAGAACAGCCTGTGGAGACTCACATTATCAACTTTTGCTCCAAGAGCCAAAGCAGGAACATACCAGAAAAAAACAAAATAATTCACAGATCCTTTGAAAGAAGTGGCTTACCACTGCAAACACCATGAGATAGCCAGAAAAGTGTGAGTTCCCAAAGAGTGAGTGGGGAAAAAGTCTGTCTCTGAATGCACATCCTCACTGGGGAACCCGAAAATCCAGATCATGGGAGAATAATTTAACCTTACCTAGAGCTGAAATGGATTTAGAGAGCCGAGTGAAATATAAAAATAGAAGATGTAGTGGGAAGAGCCCTGTAGGCAGTTCTAGTTTCCAGCTTGAGCCCAGGAAAGCCATCCCTGGCTTTATCTCCAAGGGGTCCTTGGAGAAGGCAACCAGTGGAATTGGGGAGGGGCAATGGGGCGAAGGAAGCTTCTAGCTAAACTTGGTAATAATTTTGATGGAGCACAAATTTTCCTGAGCAGAATCTGGGGTTGGGCAAACAGGAAGTACAGATACAAGCATAGAAGCTGCAGCTGAAGGTGCAGTCAGGTGGGAAGGGGCAAGGCCTGAGAGCCCTGCTTGCTTTCTCAGTGCAGAGGCTTGTAGCCTGGGGCAATATCTCAGCTCTGCTCACCAGCTGCCTGGATATAAATTCGGTGTTGTTGGCAGGGCATGGCAGGAGTGAGACTGGCCTTGATGGTTGCATGGGAGCTGGGTAAGGCCGTTACTGCCAGCATTCCCCCACTTCCCTGGTGACCTGTATGATGCAGAAGAGGCAGCCATAATCCCCCTGCAAACATAATCCCATTGGCCGGAGAACCAACCCCCATGCCCCACAGTGGCTGCAGCAAGCCCTGCTCAAGGAGAGTCTGAGCTCAGACACACCTAATCCTACCCCTACTTAATGACATTTCTCTACTCACGCTGGTAGCTGAAGACAGAAGACAAATTCTTAGGAACTCTACGGCCCTGTCCATCACCTGCAAAACTCGACTACTTCTTCAACAAACTCACCTAACACATAAGGATTCACATAAACTTAAGATAAAGGAATGAAAAAATATATCCTATGCAAATGGAAGCCAGAAGTGAGCAGGAGTACCTATACCTATTTTTAATAAGACAAAACAGAACTTAAAGCAACAACAGTTAAAAAAGACAAAGAGGGATATTATATAATGATAAAAGAATTAGTCCAAAAGGAAAATATCGCAATCCTAAATATAATATGCACCTAACACTGTAGCTCTCAAATTTATAAAATAATTACTATTTGACCTAAGAAACGAAGATAGTGGGTGACTTCAATACTCCGCTGACAACACTAGACAGATCATCAAGACAGAAAGTAAACAAAGAAACAATGGACTTAAACTACACTCTAAGCAAATGGACTTGACAGATATTTACAGAACATTCTACCCAACAACTTCAGAATATACATTGTTTTCATCAGCACATGAAAGATTCTCCAAGATAGAGCATATGATAGGCCACAAAACAAGTCTCAATAAATTTAAAAAAATCAAGTGTATTAAGTATTCTCTCACTGGAATAAAATTGGAAATTAACTCCAAAAGGAACCCTCAAAACTATACAAATACGTGTAAATTAAATAATCTGCTCCTGAATGATCATTGGGTAAACAATGAAATCAAGATGGAAATGTAAAAACTCTTTGAACTGAATAGTAATAGTGACAAAACCTATCAAAACCTCTGGCAAAGAGCAAAAAGTGAGGCTAGGAGGAAAGTTCATATCATTAAATACCTACATCAAAAAGTCTGAAAGAGCACAAATGGACAATCTAAGTTTACACCTGAAGGAACAAGAGAAATAAGAACAAACCAAACCCCAAGTCAACAGAAGAAAAGAAATAACAAAGATTAGAGCAGAACTACATGAAATTGAAACAATAACAACATCAAAAAAAAAAGATAAATGAAACAAAAAGCTGATTCTTTGAAAAGCTAAACAAAATCAATGGTCCATTAGCAAGGTCAACCAAGAAATGAGGAGAGAAGATTCAAATAAGCTCAATTAGAAACAAAACGGGCGACATTACAACTGATACCACAGAAATACAAAAGATCATTCAAAGTTACTATAAATATTTTTACGCACACAAACTAGAAAACCTAGAAGAGATGAATAAATTCCTGGACATACACAAACCTCCTAGATTAAATCAGGAAAAATAGAAACTCTGAACAGACCAATAACAAGTAGTGAGATTGAAACTGTAATAATAATTTTAAAAATGCCAACATAAAAAGAGTCCAGGACTTGATGGATTCACAGCTGGATTCTATCAGACAATCATTCAAAGAAGAATTGGTATTGATCCTACTGGGAATATTCCAAAAGACAGAGAAAGAGGGAATCCTCCCTAAATCATTCTGTGAAACCAGTATTACCCTAATACCAAAACCAGGAAAGGACATAACAAAAAATAAAACTATAGACCAATATCCCTGATGAACATAGATGCAAAAATCCCAGAAAAGTAATAGTTAACAGAATCCAACGGCATATCAATAAGATAATACACTGTGATCAAGTGGGTCTCATACCAGGGATGCAGGGTTGGTTTAACATATGCAAGTCAATAAATGTGATACACCACATAAACAGAATTTTTAAAAATCACATGATTATCTCAATAGATGCATTTGACAAAATTCAGCATCCTTTTATGATTATAACTCTCAGCAAAATTGGCATAGAAGGGACATAATTTAAGGTAATGAACCATCTATGACAAACCCACAGCCAACATTACACTGAACATGGAAAAGTTGAAAGCATTCTCCCTGAGAAATGGAACAACATAAGGATGCTCAATTTCACCACTTCTATTCAATATAACAGTGGAAGTCCTAGCAAGAGCAATCAGACAAAAGAAAGAAAGCACATCCAAATTAGTAAAGAGGAAGTCAAACTGTCGCTGTTCACTGATGATATGATTGTATACCTAGAAAACCCTAAAGGTTCATCTGAAAAGATTCTAGATCTAATAAATGAATTCAATATTGTTTCAGGATACAAAATCAGTGTACATGCTCAGTAACACTGCTATACGCCAACAGCGACAAAGTTGAGAACAAATTAAGAACTCAACTTTTTTTACAACAGCTGCAAAAGAATTAAAAAACTCAGGAATATACCTAACCAAGAAGATAAAAAATGTCAAGAAAAACTACAAAACACTGCTGAAAGAAATCATAGAAGAGAAAAACAAATGGAAACACATCCTATGTTCATATATGGGTAGAATCGATATTGTGAAAATGACCATAATGCCAAATGCAATCTATAAATTCAATGCAATTCCCATCAAATTATCACCATCATTTTCACAGAACTAGAAAAAACAATCATAAAATTTACATGGAACAAAAAAAGAGCCTGCATAGCCAAAGCAAGACTAAGCAAAAAGAACAAATCTGCAGGTATCACATTACCCAACTTCAAACTCTACTTCAAGGTTATGGCACTTGTATAAAAATAGGCTCATTGACCAGTGGAACAGAATAGAGAGCCCAGACAAAAAGTCAAATATTTACAGCCAACTGATCTTCAAGAAAGCAAACAAAAAGATAAAGTAGGGAAAGGACATCCTATTCAATAAGTGGTGCTGGGATAATTGGCAAGCCACATGTATATAGAATGAAACTGGATCCTCATTTCTCATCTTATACAAAAATCACTCAAGATGGATCAATGACTTAAATCTAAGACCTGAAACCATAAAAATTATAGAAGATAACATCAGAAAAACTCTTCTAGACATTGGCTTAGGCAAACAGTTTATTCCCAATAACCCAAAAACAAATTCAACGAAAGAAAGGTAAATAGATGGGGCTTAATTAAACTAAAAAGCTTCTGCACAGCAAAAGAAATAATCAGCTGAGTAAACAGACAACACACAGAGTGGGATAAAAAATTCACAAACTATGCATTCAACAAAGGAATAATATCTAGAATCTACAGGGAACTCAAACAAATCAGCAAGAAAACAATAATTCCATCAAAAATGGGGCTAAGGAAATGAATAGACAATTCTCGAAAGAATATATACAAATGGCCAAGAAACATATGAAAAAATGCTCAACATCACTGATGATTAGAGAGATGCAAATCAAAATCACAATGTAATACTACCTTACTCCTGCAAGAATGGCCATCATTAAAAAAAACAAAATATAATAGACGTTGTCATGGATGTGGTGAAAAGGGAACACTTTTACACTGCTGGTGGGTGTATAAACTAGTGCAACCACTATGGAAAACAGTATGGAGACTGCTTAAAGAACTAAAGGTAGATCCACCATTTCATCCAGCAATCCCACTGCTGGGTATCAGTCTAGAGGAAAATAAGTCATTATATGAAAAATACACTTTCACATGCATGCTTATAGCCATACAATTTGCAATTACAAAAATATGAAAGCTGCCTAAATACCCATCAACCAAGAAGTAGATCAAGCATATATATATATATATATATATATATACACACACACACAGCATGGAATACTACTCAGCCACAAATAGGAATGAAATAATGGCATTATTGCCTATTGATGGAATTTGAGATCATTATTCTAATTGAAGTTATTCAGGAATGGAAAACCAAACATTGCATGCTCTCACTTATAAGTGGGGGCTAAGCTATGAGGACACAAGGGCATAAGAATGACATAATGGACTCTGGGGACTTGGGGGAATGGTGGGAGGAGGGGGAGAAGAAAAGACTACACATTGGCTACAGTGTACACTGCTAGGGTGATGAATGCACCCAAATCTCAGAAACCACCATTGAAGAATTTATCCATGTTACCAAACATTGCCTGTTCCCCATAAACTACTGAAATAATTTTAAAAATAGTAATTCCAAACTGAAAAAAACATGCAGTCAAAAGCCTCCAGCCAAAAAATTCTAATCATTGGGATTGAGTGCAAAGGCTGAATAGTGTTGTTTAGATGTTAATAAATTGAGAGGCTGAAGTGGTGGTACTGCTTTCAGACAAAGTAGAATCAAGAGCAAGGAAAATTACAATGAATAAAAAAAGGGATAATTATATAATGATAAGAGGGTCAATTCACCAAGAGGACATAATAATTGTAAATGTGGATGCACTTAACAACACAGCCTCAAAATAAATAAATCAAATACTGATAGAACTAAAATTAGAAACAGACAAATCTGCAATTGTAGTTGGAGACTTCAACATCCCTCTCTCAACAATTGATGGAACACTAGACAGAAAGTCGACATGGATATGGAAAAGTTCAACAACACCAAACCCAACCTGATCTAACTGATATTTATGTAACACTCCATCCAACAACAACAAAATACACATTCTTTTCAAGTAACCAACAGATAGATAGATAGATAGATAGATGATAGATAGATAACACACACACATATATGTGTATATAGATAGATAGATATAGATATATAGATACATAAACTGTGTCCTGGGTTATAAATTTTTAAATAAGCAGAAGACATGAATATATATTTTACCAAAGTGGATATACAGTGGGCAAATATGCACAGAGGTTCAACATCACTAACCATTAAGGAAATGCAAATTAAGACTATGCCGAGATACCACCATACACATATTAAAATAGCTTTCAAATAAAAAATATAATGGAAGTACCAAATGCTGGTGAGTATGCAGAGAACTGGATGTCTCATATATTGCTGGTGGGAATAGCTTGGTTGTTTGACATATACTTCCCACATGACTCATCAATCACACTCTTTGGCATTTATCCAAAGAAATGGAAACTCATGTAAAACAAACTTGTACACAATTGTTCCCACTTTCTTATTTAAAATTGAAAAAAATCGTAAACAAGCAAAATGTCCCTCCATAGGTGAATGAGTAAACAAACTGTGATACATCTATTTGAAGACTGTCATTCAACAATAAAAAGGAAGAGAAAATTGAAAAAAAGAAGTCCATAAACTCAATATAAGCTCTAGTTGCGTTCGCCTAATTGATGAAATAAAAATAAAATTAGTTAATACCAACGACATACATGCTTATGTAAATTACTCAAAGTTCTTTCTGAAATATTAGACCATTAATATTTGCCACAATTTAATATAGATATAGATAACAGTTCAGAAATATGTCTGATGGTGCCAAAAATCATGACTTATAAGAAATTCATGATTATAAGATTTGCAAAGAGACGATATGAGGACACAATAGCTGAATTCAGATGACTTGAAAGTTGTTCATGTAAAATTTTCATATATACTATTCCAGAGAAAAGATCTACATTATGTGATAGAAAAAGTAAAATGTTGGAAGCTGCAAAGAGAAACCAATCAATTGAATATAAGGAAGAGCATAGTAAGATTCTTACCTACATCTTAACAATCTTACAAAGTATTCCGCTATCCCTCATTATAAATGTTCAAAGCCAGGGCAGTTAACAGTTTGGAAGACTGGAGGTGACATGTGAATGAAAATGAGTGGTTGAGTCTCAGATCTTTTCAGATCCTAATTTTTCATGCTTCAATAATATCTGTGGGAAGTTTAGATAGGTAGATGACAGATGGTAGATAGATACATAGATAGGTAAACTGTCAGTCAATTAAAAAATTACACAATTCAGGATAAATTATAATAAAGATGAAAGATATATTGAAAAATCCAGCCTCGCAATATATTTAAATTACATTATATTGACTTACTTCTCACCATCCTTTTAGTTTACTAATTGAAATAATGTACTCTTGTCCCTAGATCTAAAAAAAAAAGCAAGTGTTGTCTTATCTAGACAAGAATTCTGGCAGTTTCTAAAGGTTGTCTGCTTAATCTTATGTGGCAGACGGTTGGTTGACAATAGTTTTAAACAAAGACTCAATTCAATCATTAGAGCAGAAGAACACGACATTAATCAAAATTCTAAATTGATCCAGTGATAAGTTTACTTGCCTACCACAGCTCAGGCAGCTTCAGGCTGGGAGCCTGTGGTGGGAAAGAACACGATTGACTCCTGTAATTCCTTACTGGCTGCATCTCCTTATTCTTACTCCTTTCCAGCTGCTCCATTGATCTCTGCGGAAGGAAAGGCACAGGAATACCGCAGTTCATACTTTAATCAGTACTTTCCTAAACTGGCTTCATTCTCTATGGACTATGCTGCAGTTTAAAAATGACTCTTTTATCTTCTCGGACACAATTTTGAGGCTATTTGGACATTCCATACAAGGTTGTTCCAAGTGCATTTTCCTTCAGTGTTTCAGATTCGTCTGTATTTTTTTTTTTTTTTTTTTTTTTTTTTTTTTTTGAGACGGAGTCTCCCTCTGTCACCAGGCTGGAGTGCAGTGGCTCGATCTCGGCTCACTGCACCCTCCGACTCCCGGGTTCAAGCGAGTCTCCTGCCTCAGCCTCCGGAGTAGCTGGGATTATAGTCACGCGGCACCACGCCCAGCTAATTTTTGTATTTTTAGTAGGGACGGGGTTTCACATGTTGGCCAGGATGTTCTCAAACTCCTGACCTGGAGATCCGCCCACCTCGGCCTCTCAAAGTGCTGGGATTACAGGCGTGGGCCACCGCGCCAGGCCGATTCATCTGCATTCTAATGAATCACTTGGTTACTCCATCCTCAGTCCTCATTCATTCACTCCCAGCTTCTTGCTACTGGGTTCTTGATACCCATCTATTTTGTCCTGTATGCACTTTTGCTTCTATCTCTCATGTGGGCCACATATCCACTTCTGGAAACCCATATGAAATCCCTGTCCAGTAAATTAGGAAAATGGAAGCAATCCTGTATCCGTGACGCTTCCCAATCTAGCATCCATGCTATCAGAGCAACTCTGGTCCTCGATATTTCTCAGGCCGCTTCTATACCACCCCGCACACCACCAGTGTTTGCCACTTATTAAAGGTTTTTTGGTCTCAGCCAAAATCTGCTTAGGTTTGACGGGAAGGCACCAGAGCTAGGCTTCCCATGATGGAGAACCGGATGAGATCACACCAAAGATTTCTCCTAAGATACCATCCTCACAAGATGATCTCACTCATTCTCCCAAAATTTTTGTATTTTCAAAGTATTTGAAGGTGTTCAAAATCAAAGAAATTGCTTGAAGTCAGTATTATTTGAAAATAAGCGCGTAGTTATTTAGCAAATCACTTTCAAATATCGTGTCAATTTTACCTTGGTGTCTAGCATTAATTTCTGATCTAAAAATCCTGCTTTAAAGATAATTATTGAGAGAAAATCAAGATGTATGCTGGAGTTTTTAGTGTCTAGTGTTTCCATCTTTATGTTCCTGCGTATCTAGGGTTTAGCTCCCACTTACAAGTGAGAACGTGTGATTTTTTTTTCCTGTTTCTGCATTAATTCTCTGAGGATAATGGCCTCCGGCTGCATCCATTTTGCTGCAAAGGACACAATTTTATTCTTTTTATGGCTATGTAATATTCCGTGGTGTATATGTACCACATTTTCTTTATTCTATCCACCACTGACGGGCACTAGGTTGGTTCCATGTCTTTGTTATTGTGAATAGTGCTATGATAAACATATGAGTGTAGGTGTGTTTTTGGTAGAATAATTTACTCTCCTTTGGGTATATATCCAGTAATGGAATTGCTGGGGTGGTAGCAGAGAGAGAGAGATGAGCTGAAAAACTTCCTATTTGGTGCCATGTTCACTATCAGAGTGAAAGGATAAATAGAAGCCCTAACTGCAGCATCACACAATATACTGTTGTAACAAACCTGCATATATCCCCCTTGAATCTAAAATTAAAATTAAAAATAAGTTGGAGACAAGAACCTAAACTGCCGGTAGCTGAGTGAAGGGCTGTGCTGGAGTGTCCATAATAGGAGCAGTGAGTAAAACAGGAACAAGTAAGTCCCTTCTTCCCTCCTCCCATCTTTCAATATTCCTTTTCTGCTCTTTTTGGCATAAACATAGGAGAGTATTCTCTCATAAAGGAGAATTCTGGTTTGCAGAATTCTAAACCTGACATCCAAAGCAGGATATAGAAAATGGATTTGAGCCAAAAGATAATAGCTTGAGAACAAGCGCAGATCCTAATACATTTCTCCAATTTTGATTTTTTAGGAGAAAAGCCAAATTGCAAATGTAATGGTGCAATGGTGGACTCCTGAAGGTGTTATTACCATTTTCCTCTTGTAAACTTGGTAGATTTTAATCTGGAGTGTCACAGACGATCTTCAGGACATCCATGAACTGATGAAATTTTAATTTTTTTTTGGCTGTGTCATTTATGTATCTTTTGGATAAGTGGGTTTGTAATTTTCACTAGTTTCAAAGGAGGCTGTAACTTTCCTAGAATTTTTGGGGAAAAAGATCTATGTTGGGCATAACAGACATTGTAAAAGAGAAAGCAGAATAGAATGGGAAGAAAAAAATTCTATTGAAAAATATTTACCTGATACATTGGGAAAAATGGACTATTTAAATTGGAGGTATGTATTACATCCAGATTAACACAAAAAATCATTTTCATATATCCCTTGAAAAAATTTCTGTTATATAAACATATATAGAAAATGACTCAATTTCTAGATGTACAGAAAACATTGTTTACAGAGTTCAAATAGCTGATTGAACAAACAGCTCTCAAAATGAACACATTAGATACTCTATCATACATTTTTTTCTTAGTGACACACCTTAAAGACATTTTATCTGTTTTTTAAAATTAGGATTTCTTTGAGTTTGAGTCTATTGCATTGACGCCATTGTGTAATTTAGAGCTTTTCTTCACTATGATTTCAAGCATATATTTCGTCTTACTTCTGTTTTGAACCACCAGTTCACTAGATATCTTTCTTGCTTTTTCTTGACCTTTTGTTGGAACAAGTTTCAGTTCCTTCTTGGCAAGAATGGTGCATATTAAAAAAATCGCAAAAAAACTTCAAGTACGTTATATTCAAATACTATGAGATACTTTCATGTTGCTACAAGTTGTGTTCAAGAGAGAATATTAAAAATAAACCAAACAGAATCTCCTTAATGACTTACTTTAGAATAGTATTTGTTATGATAATTTCAGGATGGTAGAAGTAGATAACATCCACCCCCAACCCCACTCTCACTCTCTCTTACCATCTTCCTTACTATTCTAGCTAAGTAGAATTACTTGCAGTTGCACCTTAAATAGATGGCAATTTATTAGTACATATGAACGCTTTGTGTTTTCCTTTTCTGTCTTGAAAAACTGTTGTCAATGACTTCATTTTATTCAATTATTTTTAAAAGGACTGTGTTAGATTACATTAGTATTAAAAAAATAGTAACTCCCTCTCCCTGAACTCTGTAATATGAGTGTGTTTTCTATTAGTTAAATTTCACTAGTACATTCATCATATATGACTTATTTGATATGGGGATTGGAGTAGCTGTGACATTGACAGTGCTTTTAGTGTGCTTGTATGGTTAGGTATGTCATCTTGCACATCTGCCTTTTCTAAGAGAAAAGTTGTGACTCACTAGCTGTTGCCCTTAAGCCTAGAATCCAGGAGGAACACTTCGGGAGCAGAGAGTCTTAAGCTAAGTTTATGTAAAAAATGACACCAGAATGGGAGGAGTGCTATTTGGAGGAAAAAAAAAATAGAATAAATGGCAGTGAATTTTAGATCAAGTGCTTATAGTGAGAAAACTGATACAGGAAGTCAGAAAAATAGCAACTTATTTTCTTTACTACCAAAATATTTGATGAAATTTTGCTTGTGATATTTTGAAAGGCATAAATCATCCCCTATGTGTTTTGAAAGTAGAGTGGACAATTTGAGGCAAAACGTGGAAATCATGAACTGGTTGCTACTAGCTGTATTTCATAGTTACTACTAGAAAGAGGTAAGCTGAAAAAAATATTTGCCAGTTTGCAACAGAATTTTGAGCAAATATAATCTAGAAGTTACAGTTTTAGAAAATAATACCGCTTTTCACCAAATACAGTGTGACTATTATTATATATAATAAGGAAGAACACATATTAGGTATATTGCTTGAATATATTTAGTTACTACTTCTGAAAGAAATTAGTGTCAAATAAACCGATTTAAGCTAGATAAAAGTATTTGAAGAAAATTGTGGTCTCACTGCAAGCTGATCTGCTCAATTTCAAAAGGATTGCAATTAAGTCTACAGAGAGAAATATCCTAAAAATAATTGGGGATGTGACTGTTGGCACATGGAATTGACTGGAATCTAAGACTTATAAAACCAAAACATTTATAAAAACGATGTTTTAGACATACTGCTAGTCAGATCACAAAAGACAAAACTGTGCAGGTTATAAAATGTCTTTTGGCCTTAAATTTTCAAAGACAGGCATCAGGTTGAGAGGACATCTCAAAAACCCCAAAAAGAGAATTCTTTAATTCTTTTTAATTCTTAAATTCTTAACCAATTATTCAGAATTGGCCGAGGAGCATGATGCCAAAAGAAGACACTTCCTGAGGGCAGAGCCAAGAGCTCTGATAATAGAAAGCTTGCCTAATAAAGAAATATTCTTCCCCTCCCAGAGTAGGGACATCTAGTAACATTTATCCAGAATTGTTATGGTCCTGTGACTTCTATATGTCTTGGGAGGCTAACAGTTCCATGTTCCATATTTCAATGTGGAGCATAAGTAATGGTTATCTAAGTTCTTAGATTTTGTATGTTTTGCATGTCAGAAGAAATATACAAAACCACAGTAGTTGGAATATAATTTAAAAATATTTACTCCTTCTACCTGATTTCCATGGTAGGAACATACTTCCTAAACTGTCTTTGAGCTCAGTCAAGTAACTGCTTTAATGAATGAAAACTTTAATCAATGTTAAACAATTTGGGGCTAAAATCCTTTTTTGTATCTCATGCTCTTTTGTGTTTTTGTAATCATCATGAAAAGAAATTATCTTGTATATGTGCTTAACTATCAGTTCAAGCCCTTCCATGAGCACGTGTGGCGTAACCATTTTAGCTGACCTATGGATCTGAACCAGAATGACTGAGTCGATTCTAAAATAAATGACATGAATAGTGATTTTTATAATTTTAATAAGTATCTTCATTTATAGAAAAATTCACTTTGAAATGTCTTCCATGTAGTGAAATATCTTTGAAAATAATTATGTGGTAAAATTGACATAATTGAGCTTATTTTTCTATTGTTTTTCATGAAACTGTTCTTTAGAATTCAATAACCTATCATTATTGTTTCCATTAACATGTTTAATAATTTAGATTTATTTTAAAAATTCTTAAAAACAACTTATTCTTTTAAAAGTTCAAAATAATCATTATTGTAATCAAGGATAGACACATTGATCAGTGTAAGAAAATAGAATCTACAAATGGACCCATACAAATATAGCCAATAGATTCTTGACAAAAGTGTAAATGCAATTCAATGGTGAATGGATATTCTTTTCAGCAAATGGTGCTGGAAACATTTGATATCCATGTGCAGAAAGCTGAAGCTCCACCCATACCTCACACTGTATACAAACATTAACTCAAGATGAATCACATAACTTAATTTAAAATGTAAAATTAATAAAACATAAAAGAAATGTGCGAAAACCCCTGCAACCTTGAGTTAGGCAAAATTATTAGCTACAATAGCAAAAAAGAACTTCTAAAAGAAAAAAAGCCATAAAAATGAATTATTAAAATTTAGGAAATTTTACTCTTCAAAAATCACTTTTAAGAGAATCACAATATAAGACACAGAATCAGAGACAATATTTATAGTTGACATATCAGAGAAATGACTTGCTTCCAAAACATATTTTTAAAAATATCAAAACTCAACAACAAACATTTCAATAAAAATCAGGCAAATATTGGGAGGCTGAGGTGGGTGGATCATGAGGTCAAGAGATCGAGACCATCCTGGCCAACATGGTGAAACCCCATCTCTACTAAAAATATAAAAATTAGCTGGGCATGGTGGCACATGCCTGTAGTCTCCGCTACTCAAGAGGCTGAGGTAGGAGAGTCGCTTGAACAAGGGAGGCAGAGGTTGTAGTGATCTGAGATCGTGCTACTGCACTCCAGCCTGGCAGAAGGGTGAGACTCCGTCTCAAAAAAAAAAAAAAAAAAAAGACAAAAAAAAATCAGGCAAATGATTTGAGCTGACACCTCATCCAAGAAGGTATAAGAGGTGAGTCAAGTCAGTGAGAATAAAATAATCATAAATCAATGAAATGCAAATTAAAATCACAATTTGATTTCATTATACATCATTAGCTGGGGGAGAAAAGATAAATACCACGAGCTGGTTAGAATGCAGAGAAACTAGAATAATTTTACATAGCTTGTGGGAAGTCAAATTGGTATAGCCACTTTGGAAAATAGTTTGGCAGTATTACCTAAATTTAACCATACATTTATCATGTCACCACCAATATTATTGCTCATTGCTCACTTATTAATCAAACACATTTATGTAAACACCTATATCAAATGTTTATGTAGCTTGATTTGTAATTGTACAAAACATGGAAACTGCATATTTTCAGTTCACACAACTACTTTTGTGGGTTTTTTTAAATAAAAAATAATTATTATTCCTAGTTATAATTCATACAGCTACTTTAAAATATTTTCATTTCCAGAAATGTGTCTCTATTGATAAATATATTGGGGATTTAACACAGTGCATTTACATCATGCTTCCATTTAAAATCTTCAGTGAATGGAAATACGCACAAGAGGAAGAGAAGTAAAATCTATACTGGAACAGGAAACTTGAACAGGAGTCTGTGAATTATTCAAAATCCAAAAGTGCATCTACGGCTCTCTAAAAAAAGAAATGTATGATTTTATTTCCCTCCTTTATGTGTTCTCATCCTTTTTGAATGTTCTCAGAACATTGTAAATGTTTTGAATCAATTCAGTCATGATTTTTTTCTAACATATATATTACATGCATTTGTCAGTAGATTTTAAAATATTATTAGGATAGATAAGGTTGTTCTGATTATTACATTATCTTCACATTTAATACAGTTCTGGCACAGAGTAAGCACAATAACAATTTGCATTTTGGTAATTTATTTTTAGGTACCACTTGTAATGATCTATTTTTTTATCTCCATTCTTTTCTCCTGTGAACGTTCATCTTTGTAGACACTCAAAGTACATATCGTGCATAAAACGTTTTATAAGTGTTTTTAAATATCTCGGTTAGGACGTAACTTACCTTGATGAATGAAAACTTAAGTAGATGCTAAATAATCAAGGGTTTATTTATTGACTTATTTATTTTTGCATGGCATGTTGTCTTGTGTTTCAGTGGTCATGATAAAATTTTCTTGAATATATGCTTAATTATCAGTTCAAGCCCAAAGGAACACATGTGGCAGACCCATTTCAGCTAAACTGTAGCTAATACCATAGCTATAATTCTCCTTATACACCAACTAATATAGCAAGTTATGCTCTTCACAGTCTCCTAAAAAGTTTAAAAAATTAATTCATTCAAGGTATTTTATGAGCAAAATCTTTTCTTGATATAAACAGTTCTTTCTAGTAAAAATGATGAAAATTCCATGTACAGAGTATACATTTTTAAAATATTTAAACATTGATACATACTTGATCACTATAGAAAAAAATCTAGTTATATCCTAACATGGTCTACCTTTTTAAAATTTTATAATAAAATTCTAATATTGATAACTCCTCTGGTTCTGAATTAACACATTATTAAGTGATGTTGATGAAAGTAATTTCTTCTTGCATACATGTTGTAAGTTGAAAATATATACGTTGAATTTTATAATCACATGTCCAATAATTCCTCATCAAAAATTCTTAAATACACAAAAATATATAAAGTGAAACTTTTTCACTACAAATTTGGTAAGAAAAAAACAACCTGACCCAAACAGGTTTGTCATCAAAATCTGAGCTGAATTAATATGAGGGTTCTTTTAGTATTTAATTTTCTCTCTCTTACTGTGAATATTTATTTGTTTTATGCCTATATGCATATATTATATATATTTAATTTCAGCATACTTTTCTAGACTTTGCTATCAATGGTATATTATAGTACAAAATGCTACATATTGTCCTCTTTTTAATCTATAAATGTCAGGAAGATATCTAGCCTCAATAGTTTTGGATAAGAAAATATAAATAGACTTGCCAGGTGCAGTGGCTCCCCACTGTATTCCCAGCACTTTGGGAGGCCGAGGAGGGTGAGTTACCTGAGGTCGGGAGATCAAGACCTACTTGGCCAACATGGTGAAACCCCATCTCTACTAAAAATACAAAAATTAGCCGGGTGTGGTAGTGGGTGCTTGTAATCCCAGCTACTCAGGAGGCTGAGGCAGGAGAATTGCTTGAACCCAGGAGGTGGAGGTTTCAGTGAACCAAAATCATGCCATTGCATGCCAGCCTGGGTGACAAAAGTGAAACTCCATCTCAAAAAAAAAAAAAAAAAAAGAAAATGTAGATAGACTTGTATTTTTTTTCTTTATATGTCTACTACTACTTCAAAATTACATTTTTGTGGACTCATTGTATACTAAGACAGCGATGGCTCCTTGTTGCAAATAACACCAAATTCAAGGTATTTGTAACAAATGTGTCATTTCTTTTTTTCAACTTTTAAGTTCAGGAATACATGTCCGGGTTTGTTACATAGGTAAATTTGTGTCATGGGGGTTTGTTGTACAGATTATTTCATCATCCAGGTGTTAAGCCTAGTACACATTAATTATTTTTTCTGACCCTCTCCCTCCTCCTGTCCTCTATCCTCTGTTAGGCCTCAATGTCTACTGTTCCCTCTATGTGTCCATGTGTTCTCATTATTTAGCTCCCACCTTAAGTGACAACATATGATATTTAATTTCTGTTCTCGAATGATAATGGCCTCCACCTCCGTCCATGGTCTCGTCAAGGACATGATCTCGTTCTATTTTATGGCTGTGTAGTATTCCATAGTGTTTATGCACTACATTTTCTTTAGCTTTTCTATTATTAATGGGCATTTGGGTTGATTCCATGTGTTTGCTATTGTGAACAGTGCTGCAATGAACATATATGTGCATGTGTCTTCATGATAGAATGATTTAAATTCTTTGGGGTATACAGCCAGTAATAGTATTGCTGGGTCAAATGGTAGTTCTGTTTTTACATCTCTGAGGAATGTCCACAGTTTTTCCCAAGATGGTTGAACAAATTTACACTCTCATCAACAATGTATGAGCATTTCTTTTTCTCTGCTACCTTGCCAGCACATTATTTTTTCACTTTTTAATAATAGCCATTCTTAGTAGTGTCAGATAAGTAATTTCTTAAATGATTTTAGGTAGTTCACTGAATCTCTGAGACAGACTGTGACTAAGCCTTAGATGCCTAGTAGCAAAGAATAATATCTAAATATAATTTTCTATAGGACTATCAACCTGTTAATATAAACACCACAGCTTGCATAATTATCATTTGTTACTGGATGGCATCACTAACATTTCAGAGAGAGTACTGGACAGCCAATACTCTCTCTGAAGACAAGAGGTCTCTGGTACCGCCCTTCTTAGAAAGGATTCTGTGCAAATTCTTCTTTCTTATATTACTAGCTATTAAAAAGAAGTTTCATGATTGTGCTTTCATAATTGTGTTTTATTGTTAGAACAGATGCCATTTGCCTTTTGTCTATATTCAAAGGTGGATGGGTGTCTTAGTTGTTTGGGCCTCTATAGCAAACTACTATAGACCGAGTGACTTATAAACAACAGAAAATTACTTCTCACAGTTCTGGAGTCTGAGAAGTGCAAAATCAAGGTATGGGCAGATTGGATGTCTGATTACGTCCGTGACCCAATTCATATTCTCACTATAGTCTCACATAGCAAGAGTGATGAAAAAGCTTTGCTTTTTTTTTTAATATATACAATTACTAATCCTACCAATGATGGCTTTGTCCTGATTACCTAATTGCCTCCCAAAACCTTAATGGTAGTATTTCAGCTTATATATTTTGGGGGATGAGAGGCACAAACATTCTGACAATAGCAATGGGGAACGGATGTCCTTGATTCTACTGTGGAAAGTCTCGGGCTTAGGGCATAAGGAATTTCTCCAACATGTGAACATGTTAGCAATTGCTAGGCAGCTACGAAGACAGACCATTCTTTTCAAATAAAGTGTGCTCACTGTGTAACATCAATACACATTTTAGATCATAATTATAAACAATATTGAATCATAATTATACTTATAGCAAGTGCCTTCTATACCATAATGAAATAATAATCTGTATATATAAAAACACCCTAATTTTCTATTTAAAATTTGAGAGGAAGTATTTTAAAACATTAGCAGTTGCTATGTGTAGATCTAAATCCACCCTCTCTGGATCATATCCATTCTTCTTTTGATTTTTTTTCTTGGTATTCTCACAATCTTTATTTAACTCACAGCTTAAATTTTAAAGTTAACTACCACAAAAAGGATATAAATTGGTATAGAAAAAACTTTAAATACTTACGCCATTCATATATATTTATAATTATATACTAAAGTATTTCTTTAACTATATCAAGAAAAACTATTCAAGTAGGTGAGTAGATACTTGAATACTAGTGTCTCCAAATGGTCTCAAGACATAGTTGGCATTTATGATAACTCAGTATTCACTTACTCTAAGCCAATACTGATGGGTTTTCTACTTCCTGGTGCAGCCCAAAACTTTATTCCTGAAAGACAAAAACCCTGTAGTTGAGGTAATCATTTATTTATGTTAGCATTCTTTTTTTTTTTTTTTTTTTTTGACAGTGTCTTGCTCTGTCGTCCAGGCTGGAGGTCAGTGGTGTGATCTCGGCTCACTGCAACCTCTGCCTCCTGGGCTCAAGCAATTCTCCTGCCTTAGCTTCCCGAGTAGCTGGGATTACAGGTAACTGCCACCACGGCTGGCTAATTTTTGTATTTTTAGTAGAGACGGGGTTTCACCATGTTGGCCAGGCTGGTCTCAAACTCCTGACCTCAGGTGATCCATCTGCCTCGGCCTCCCAAAGTGCTGGGATTACAGGCGTGAGCCACTGCATCCGGCCAATGTCAGCATTCTTAAACATAATATGTTTCTTTGTTGGATTTCTTGAGTTTCAGTGTAAAATCTCTACTTACATAACTTATTTTTGCCTTTAAAAAATTATCCTGAATGAATCACTTTCATTTTTTAACAATTGTTAGGTCAAATGATATGGAAAAGTGAATCAGATAATTATGGGCATCTCAGTGTTACATTGTCATTTGGTGTCCTATGGTTAGACATTTTGTCTCTATCTGGACCTATATACTAAAGAATGTTTGTCAAAAGTAGAATGTTTTCTGCTATGTCTTTGCTATCAAAACATGGTAGCCTTCCTTCTTATTATCCTAGCTAGGCTTCTCAAAGGGCACTTGAAACCTCCTGATCTGCCACACATGCTTTCCCCACCACGAGATCTATTGCTTTTTAAAGTGAAGTGGCAGAGCTGCCTATTTCCAATTCGAGACCATACAACAAACCTTTTCATCAAAAGTAAAAATGGAAGCTTGTTAGTAACTCGGCATGCAATACATCTAAATGGGACTTACTTTTTTCTAAAATCAACTAGGTAGCAGTAGTGTACAGGTATTAGTGGAAATAGAACATGGCAGCACAGAGGCAATAATATTTAAACATTACAAATCTTTTTACTTTTATCTTGATCATACTATTTTGTGCTAACATTAAAATACAGATTAAACCATACTAATCCTTAAACAACGCAAGTGTTTATATTGTTCAAAATACAGATGCACTAACTGGGAAAAAAGAGTGGCTTTATTTGCATTGTCCTTTCTTTCTGAACTGAAGGAGATTCTATATAGAACAACTTATTTTTACTTTTCGCAGGGATATCTCAATATATCCAGATCACTGGGTCTCCAAAAATATTCACTGAGTAAAATACCTATTTATTTTTATGGCATCTCAGAGAATTTCATAGAATGAAATTTTGCTTTTTGCATTCCTTACCAGCATAAGATCACTGTTTGGAAAAGTGTGATGTCCTCTGGGACAGTTCAATAATCAATATCCCTGCAAATTAAAATTTATTCTAAAGTTAGAAGCACAAAGAAGAATGCAGACCATAGATTGTTCTGCTATGTAGAATAAACTATTTATGAGTATTTTGGGAAGGAGAAAGAAGAACAGAAAGAGAGAGAGACAGAGAAAGAGAAAGAGACAGAGAGAGAAAGAGAGAGGAGCTTCTAAATTATTATTTGTTAAACAAATGCCAATAATTTGATTTGTGTTTGATTTTCTCAGGCAAGGGTACAATATGAATTAACGGCTGAAATTGAAGTCATTTCCTGCTTAAACCTAACATAATTTACTTTCATATTTAATATCACTATTGTTATATACATGTTAAAATACATTATATATTATATTAATAATAATAACAACATATGTTTATAACAACTCTATTATTTCTCATAAGTCTCAGTTTCATTCATTGTGTTTGCTGACCTGGGCCAGACTTGACTGCTCTTTGCTAACATGATTCACACATTTGTGATGAGAGGGCAGGTTAGTATAGAATATCCTCATATGGGATAACTCAGCTCTCCACCAGCTCTGCTCCATACTAGCTCTGCTCCACACATTTTATTCTCTAGCTTGCTACCAGGGGCATATTTTGGTGGTTAGATAGAAGGACAAAATGAGCTGAAGAGCAAGCCCTACTGTGCAATTGTTTTTCCAGACTCAGCTTGTGTCATATTTGCTAACATCTTGTTTGCCAAAGCAAGTCATTTCTGTGTAACAGAGCACCCATCCTCAATGAGACCATTGGTTTTAACAATGCATGGCGTGCTGTTGAAAGTTTTTGCAAAGCTGAAAATAGCTAGAGGTAGTCACTTTTATTCTTTTCTTTTCCCAATCTCTTCTCTTTCTCTCTCTCGTTTTTTCTTTTTTTTTTTTCTTTAATCTTCAAACTTAAATTCCTAACTCTACTTCTAAGCCCAGTCACAAATGTTTGTTTTCCCACATTGGTTACTTTAAAATACAACTCTAACTTTCAGCAACAACCAAAGGCACTCTGTACCTAAAGCCTTGTGTTTGTTTGTTTGGGCTTCTTAATCATATTTTAATTCTTTATTTTACTTTTTGTTGTGTTGTTGTTGTTGAAATGTTTACTTGATGGTTTGGCTTTTAATTAAACCTCCTGATTAGCTCATCAAGCTGATTAGGGATAATCTTTCCAATACTCTCACATGTAAACACAGAATAATAGTTCTCTTTTCCAATTTGTTTCTTATTTACTGAAGTCTTATTTCTTAAGGCAAGCTCCATTTTCTTATTTGTTATTATGTGATTACATTAGTTGACTCTTTAAACAGGAATTACATTTCAATTTATTTCACTTTTGGTAAAGCTGCCTAACAAGGTGGCTCTCAGACAACAACTGTTTCTAGATTAGTAAATTCCTTTTTATTTTTGCTTAGTGCATCCCTTTTGGACAGTTTTCTCAGGGAAAACATAATAATACAAATTAAAAAAAGGTAAATCACAAATGTGTTACTCTTTTCTGACAATATTTTCAAGTTTTACATTTATATCTGTGGAATAAGTTATACTAACTCAGTTTTAAGAAGGAAAAAATACCAATGCCCTTAGAATCAGAATCATCTTATTGTAATAAGCATGTCACATAATCTCTGACTGATTACCTGGAACTGGAACTGCCTTGTCATACTTACCATGGCAATGCCTGCTATATAGCCATGGAAAGCAAATATACCTTTCTTAATGGCACATGGCCAGAATAGGTTGGCCAGCCTCCCCTGCTTTTAGGAGCAGAACCAGCCACATGAGTTGCAGGGCCCAGTGCAAAATGAAAGCATGAGGCCCCTTGATCAAAAACAATATAAAACTTAAAATATCAAGAGCATAGAATTGAAACAAGCATGGGGCCCTTTTATGGATGGATCCCTGTGCAACGGCATAGGGCATATGATCATGAAACCCGTCCTTATTAAGTATGGCCATTTGTGACTCAGTTCTTGCTAAAGGAATATAATCCAACATGGTGTGTGCATTGTTTGGTTCTGGACTTCAAAACCTGGGCACTTTTCTTTCATGTTTCTCTATAACCTGACATTACAGTTTGATAGTCTGTTTTTGAAGATTTTTTTTCCATCTTTGCACCATCTTGTCCATGAAATTCTTTTTGTACACTATGTCATCCCTCCTTTCTTATGCTGAACTTCTATTCAGACTTCAAGGCCTTTAAAAAATTTCATACCCTTTGCAAAGCTTTCCTCAGTTCATCAAGCAGTCTCTCACTGTTCTTTCTCCACACCATAACATACGCACCTCTAGTTGTAATACTGTTCACTTGAACTTAGAGTTATGTTTGTCTTCTGAACTATGATCTATCAGTAGGCTGAGTGGTGTTCTTATTAACCTTTGTGTCTCCAGAACCTACTATGTAAGTATTAAATGTTTAACAACTGTATGCTTTATTATTAAAGGTCTATATTAATAGGTAGCAAGTATGTACTTGTTTGATACTTCTTCCAATATCACAAATACTTTGAATGTAAGGAGTTAGAAATGAGTCCCCTTTCCTCTTTGCCAAAATGTCCATTTCTTGATCTCCAGGATAATTTGCAGAATTTTAATCCTCTAAATAACTATAATTTATAGTGCTTTATTAAATAGAATGCTGAGAAGACAAATATATTTTGTAAGCTAAGGTTAAAGAGAAAAAAATAACACATTAAGTGCCATTCAAGTTCAATAAATCCTGGTACAAACTAAATATAAAAAAGAATTGTAATAGAGGAGGTTCACTTAATTCACTGACATTTTATTTACACTAACGATGAGCATGAATGATTATAAAATGTTGACTGTGTGAATTCAGTATGTGAGAGTATTCAATTATCCTCTGTGTAATATACCATTCTTCAGGTATTCAGTTTGTGTCAGGAATATTTTTAAATACATGAATAAAAATAACTGATAAAAACATATTTATGTTGGAAAATAACTTGAATTTAATATTCATTGGTCTTTTTAAAATTTTACTTTAAGTTCTTGGATACATGTGCAGAACATGCAGGTTTGTTACATAGGTATACTTGTGCCATGGTGTTTTGCTGCACCTATCAACCCATCATCTAGGTTTTGAAATCCGCTTGCATTAGGTATTTGTCCTAATGCTCTCCCTCCCCTTGCCCCCCAATCCCTGACAAGCCCAGTGTGATGTTCCCCTCCCTGTGTCCATGTGTTCTCATTGTTAAACTCCCATTTATGAGTGAGAACATGTGGTGTTTGGTTTTCTGTTCCTGTGTTAGTTTGCTAAGAATGATGGTTTCCAGATTCATCCATGTCCCTGCAAAGGACGTGAACTCATTTTTTTTATGGCTGCATAGTATTCCATGGTGTATATGTATCCAGTTTATCACTGATGGGCATTTGGGTTGGTTCCAAGTCTTTGCTATTGTAAATAGTGCTGCAATAAACATGCATGTGTCTTTATATTAGAATGATTTATAATCCTTTGGATATATACCCAGTAATGGGATTGCTGCTGGGGCCAATGGTATTTTTGGTTCTAGATCCTTGAGGAATCGCCACACTGTCTTCCACAATGGTTGAACTAATTTACACTCCTACCAATGTGTAAAAGCATTCCTATTTCTCCACATTCTTGCCAGCATCTGTTGTTTCCAGACTCATTGGACTTTTATATTTTATCTGGTACAGTGAAAATGTACAATCTGTTGTGTCTGTTTTGTATTCTCCACAGTTCACAACATAATAACATTCACGTTGTGAGATAATGTGAAGCAATGGAAAAAACGACTGAAGGGCTATAGACAGTGTGTTTATTTCCTTTCTGCCAGTTTGCAGTTGGCCTGTCACTTAAACTTCAGCTCTCGGACCTATAACATAAGGAGGTTGCATCACACAATTTCTAAGACTGGAGTTTTAAACCCATGTACCATCAAAACAAGAATACATTTCTGGCTATATGAATAGACTAGCCCATTTTTTTCCCCCTGGGCAAGTCATATCATGAATCTCATAATATCTTTAATGAGAAAGTTCAGCTATACCAAAACAATAATCTGTGTTATTTTCACATTCTTTAGAGATCTTAAACATTTTATGGATTTCCTTAGTAGTTCATTATCAAAGTGATTTTAGTTTTTTCTTATATGTAATTGAGAGACAAAATTTCTTCCTTTGGATATAAATCTACATACAAATTAAAATTTTAGGATCAAAGTATTAACATCCATGAAAAACATACATATCCAAATATGGCAGAGACCAGTTAGCTGTTGATAAAACTCACATCACTTTCCTTCTGAGGTCAGAGCTAGGCTCCATTTCTGTCTCTCTTGCAGATGAAGGTGGTAATATGACAGAGCCATAGCTAATGACCGCTGATAGAATGTATTTATTAGTTCTGGGATGATCAGTAAAAACCTTTTCCTTCTCAATTGCCAGCTAATGTGACAAGAGAAATGTGAGCAGTGCTAGTTAAATTTCATTGTCAGCCTGAATTCACCACTCCCACCCCAATACCAATCATATTCTATGGGAGGCATAAATAAATGTTTCTTTTGTTAAATTATTGAGATATTGATTTTATTAGTTACAACAGCTCCTTAACCAATAAAGACCAACTTGAAACAACACCTTGCAGATGTATACATTTATGATCCTCAAAGTTGTAGTTTCTTTCATATTTTACAGGAGCAGAAAAAAGTAAATACTTTTTTCCATTTTTTCTTTTCTGACATTTCATTACAATATGTCACCTTTTAAGTAGATTATTTAATATATCTATTTTTACCAGAAAAAATATTATAATGAACATATAATATATGATATACACTGTGATGCATTGCTTATTCTTATAAGTATTATGTATTTTATATTTGTTGAAATAGAATTATTTACAAAATATTAATGTATATAGATTGTGCTGTGGAAAAAATGTTTTTTTTAATTTTTATGTCTTCAGTTATTGCAAACATTTTACAATGTCAAGTTTTTTTCTTTCTGATTTTGTTATCATTGTACATTATTGTCTATGGAGTTTGAAAAAATCCATTTGAGATGTTAATGTGTGCTTACTTCAATAGATCTGGTTATAAAGTTAGGCTTAGATAGCATTTAGACATGGAATAATTCATCCATTTTGTAGCACCTAACACTTGCTGCACACAGGATATAAATGGTCAGGTCAGTTTGTCTCCAGCTTGTATTCCATTTCTATGAGAGAATTAATGTAGCAAATGTAATGAATAAAGGTATTAAGTAAATTTAAGTGAAGTAAGTAGTTACTAATTTTAAGTAGTCACTCATTTTAAATGAAGTAAGTAGTTAGCCTTAGGAATCTATAGTGAATGGACTTGAACATTAGTTCTTAGATTAGTTTCATGATATTACTCGTCTACGTAAAGTAAGACTTTTATTCTTCAAAAATTTCAGAGATTTGAGATTTCCAATTAAAAATCAAACCTGACAACTTATTTTTCACTTAAATTCCCAATTGTTTCTTATTAACTATTGGTAAGAAGTTGTTCCCAGACTTCTAAAAGTAATATATGTGTAGATTTAAAAAAAAAATAGTTTTCTATGTGTTTTTCTAAACATTTTAATCTCCCATAAGAACATTAATGACAATATGTTCCAAAGGCCTTCTGCAATTAAGATAACTTGAAAAATAAATTTTTAATAAAAAAATGAAAATTTTAATAAAATTTTACCGTCAAATATGAATAATATGTTTTTAGAATAAAGACAATTTATTATACAGAAACTATACATAAAAATAATTACTTAAATGTTCTATATTCTTCTCATTATATTACTTGTTATTAGAGTTTGATACCAGTATACCCATACCAGATTAGTATTTGCAAAGATTGTATTAGAACACTAGATTGAAAAGCCAAAGAAAATACAATAAACTTACATAACATAATTTATACATTTATGAAACAAATGGCTGGGTGCAGTGGCTCATGCCTGTAATCCCAGCACTTCGGGAGACCGAGGTGGGTGGATCACTTGGGGTCAGGAGTTCAAGACTAGCCTGGCATATGTGGCGAAACCCTGTCTTCACAAAAATACAAAAAGTAGCTGGATGCGGGCACCTGTAATCCCAGCTACACGGGAAGCTGATATAGGAGAATTGCTTGAACCCCAGAGTCGGAGGTTGCAGTGAGCCGAGATCACACCACCGCACTCCAGCCTGGGTGACAGAGCAAAAAAAAAAAAAATACAAAATAATCACAAATTAGGTAATTAGTCCCTTTTGCTTTTTTAACTTTCACTGAAATAATATTTCCTTGAAAAATTGAAAAAATATTAATGTAATGGTTTTAAATTTTTTATAGTAAAAATTGTCTTGGGCTATTTATTCAATACTCTTCTTCCCAGAAGAAAAAATTGATTATGTGGGCTTTGGATGGTGCCTAGGTATTCATGGGTTAAAAAAGTAAGATAAATTTTAATTATAAAAAAACTTGATGAGAGATACTGAAATCTAGTCCTATATTTCTGAAAATGGATTTTTACTATATTTAGAAATCACTCATAATTAAAACGTCACTTAAAAATCAAGTGATATTAATTCAATGAAGAAAGGACAGCCTTTTCAATGAATGGTGCTTTAACACTTAGATATTAACAGGAAGAAAAACAAAATGAAACAATATAAATCTGACACCTTATAAAAATATTAACTCAATATATCATGGGCTTATGCTAAAAATATAAAAATATTAAAATTTTTAGAAAAAAGTCAGAAAGTAAAATGACCTAGAGCTAGACAAAGAGTTCTTAGACTTGACATCAAGAGTATGCGCCAATAAAGAAAAAATTAATAAACTAGACTTTATCAAAAGGAAACATTTTTGCTTTGTGAAAAGCCTCTTTAGAGGATGAAAAGACAGGTGATCTCATTTATATGCAAAATCTTAAAAAAGGTAGAATAAATAGAAATAGATTAGAACTGTGGTTTACCATGAGTGGGAAAAAAGTGGGGGGGAAGGACATAGGCAAAAGTAGGTTACAGAATACAAATTTTCAGTTAGGTAAGATAAGTAAGTCTAGAAATCTAATGTACGGCATTAGGACTATAATTACCAATGGACTTCGCGGACTTGGGGGAAAGGGTGGGAGGTGGGTGAGGGATAAGAGACTACAAATTGGGTTCAGTGTATACTGCTTGGGTGATGGGTGCACCAAAATCTCACAAATCACCACTAAAGAACTTACTCATGTAACCAAACACCATCCGCTCCCCAAAAAAATCTATGAAAATAAATAAATGAATAATTTAAAAATAATGTTATTGTAATGAATACTGAAAATATGCTGACAGTAGATTTTAGGTGCTTTTAACACACATACATATGCACACAATAACTATAAAAGATGACAGATATGTAAATTTGACTGTAGCATTTTCCTATATCTGTCCATAGCAATATACAATGTTGTATACCTCAAATATACTCAATAAAATAAATCTAAAAGAAGACATTGGGAATAAATATCTGAAAACCAGATACTTGACAAACAACTAGTAATCCAGAAGATATAAAGAATTCTCAAAACTGAACAGTGAAAACATAAGCAAAACACTAAGAAAAAAGGAAAAATTATAAACGTATATTTTACCAAAGTGGATATATAAGTGGCAAAGCAAACAACTCCATGAAAAAAATATCCAACGTTGTTAGCCATAAAGGAAATAAAAAGTAAAATTCCAGTGAGATAACAATACACACTTACAACAATGCCTAAAATAAAAATAGTGACAACATCAAATGCTGGGGAGGATGGAGAGAAACTGAGTTGATTCTACATTGCTGATGGCAACATAAAATAGTGCAGCTACTCTGCAAAACAGTCTAAAAATTCGTTGTCAACTTAAACATGCAACAACCACACAACCTAGCAATTGCACTCCTTGGCATTTTTCCAAAGAAATGAAAACTTACGTTCACACACACAAAAAATGTACAGAAATGTTCATAGCAGAAAAAAACAAAGATGTCCTACAACAGATAAAGAGTTACAAAAACTATAATATCTACGTTATGTAATAGTCCTCAACAATAAAAATTAATAAACTGTTAATATACATAATGAATGAATTTTCAGATTACACTGAATGAAAACAGCCAATCCCAAGCGTTGCTCACTAATACTAATAATAATATAATATATCTGCATATGTATAGTATTATTAAAATTGTAGTAATATACCAATGGGATGTAGATTTCCAAGTGTCAGGAATGGAGGGAGAGTGAAGTTGTTGTGGCTATAAAAAGGCAATACAATAGCTCTTTCCACAATAGATTATCAGACTGTTGAGCACTGACTGTATCAATGTCAATACCCTCGTTGTGATACTGTACTACAGTTTTAAAAAATGTTTCCCTTGGGGGAAACGGTGTGAAAGGTAGCCAAGATATCTCTGTATTAGATGTGGTATATGTTTTATATACAGTATGTATGTAATATATGTTATATATATAAGATATGTAATATCTTTCAAATTATGCATAACAATCTAAATTTCTCATTATTCTTTGAGACACTTGTTTGCAATATTTACAGCTTTACTTATTTAAAATAGTATCAATATGAATTAAGAACTGGCTTGTAAGTAATAAGAAAAAATTATTTCACTTTCATTCATTGTTTTTATAATTAGTGTAGTGATTTTAATTTTGCATAGAGGACAGCTGTTTTAATCTCAGGTAGACATTTGACTGTGGTAGAAGAACAGGGATAGGAAGAAAACTATGACCTCCATTGGAAGCAGTGGATTTAATAATTAGTGACCCAAGGGAAGCAAACATGAGTTATTAAATGTAACTACACTTTATCACGATAGTGTTTGAATTCATGACTGGAATGTGCGGAACACCTAAAAAGATTATTATTTTCCACTTATTAGTAAATTGTTGACAAAAGAAGAAAGGCAACAGTTACTTGAGCTCCAGGAATAATATCATAACTTTATCCCTTTTATCTCATTTAGTAACCAATACATTCTATATTTTGGGTATTATTATTTTCAAGTGAATATTGAAGATTCTTCATGATCAATAAATTTCCTGAAACCCCCAGTCAATAAGTGAGAGAGCTAGAATTGAAGCACAGGTGACAATGATTCTAAAGCATGCATTCATTCCATTTTATAACAGGATAGTCCCTGAAATGTTTAAGGGTGATTGGCTCATACTTACCGGGAATAATCAAAAGAAAATGTATGCATAGGAAATGAAATTGGACTACATGCTTTTTAGCTCTAATTTTTCGCTGAGATTGAAGGGTATGATAGTATAGGTAAGTTATTTGCCACAGACATATTAAGTTTTTCACAATGAGTATCAATAGAAATATTATACATTTGTTCCTCCTATAATAGGAAAGATTATATTTCACGTAGGGCAAATACATGGTGTTTTGAGAATTTACATTAATTTTAGATATTAAAAGCATTTAAGATTTTTATAGGAAAAACATGAAAATTGTTGAAGGGGATTATTAATGCCTGCAAGGACACTTAAATATTTTCTATTCCTAAGTATGATATGGATATGTATTGCATATATACATATATTACATGAACATATTGTAATATAACATATAAACTTATATAAGATATAAATATGCATCATATAGCTAATATAAATATAACACAGCATGTGAATACGTTATATAACTTAAATAGTTATATACTTATATAAGGATAACTTATACATACATAATAGGTATTTTATATGATACATATATGAGGTATCTGCTGGAGCTGCTATTGCAAAATACCATAAATTGGTTGGCTTATAACCAAAAAACATTGATTTCTTAAGTTCTGGAGGCTGAGAAATCCAACATCGAAGTGCTGGCAGATTCAGTGTCTAATGAGTGCCTATTCCTCAATAGCACCTTCTCGCTGTGTTCTCACATGGTGGAATGGACTAGCTAGCTCTCCTGCGTCTCTTTTATAAAGTCATTAATCCAATTCATGAAGGCTGCACTTCCCCAAAGGTCTTACTTTCTGAAATCATTACTTTGGAGATTAGGATTTCAATATATAAATTTGGGAGGGACAGTCAGACCACAGCACGATAGCAAGGGACAATTGCATACCAAAGAACATTAGAAGCATTGTAGGAAACATAGTTTAACTCTCAGATATAAGGCTTATATTTAATAGCTCTATTATTAAGTGGACGGGTCTTGAAAGAAATTGATAATTTTTGTCACAGAAAAGGCTGCAAGAGTTACAGAGATTTTTCAGGGATGAATAATGAATGAGTACATGTATCTATATTTACATCTGTATCTCTATCTGATTTAGTGTGCTTAGGATGGGGCCTGTTAATTTAGGAGTTAAACAAGTTATGTGTAAATTAATAGGTTTGAGGATTTTACAATGTGAATGTACAAGCACAGTCCATAACCACAACATAACTTTTGCTCTCTTCTATTTACTGCTTCCTTATGTAAAATTTACTAGTTGAGTGGAATGAAACTATGCCATTTAATTTGAAAAGTTTCAAAAAAGGAATTTTTCTGAAGAGGTGCACATTTTTAACTGCTGAGAATGCTGAGAGCAGGTGGAGTTCAAGAATGGCAGTCCAATACAAAGTCTGGGTAAGGGAATATTGAGTCTGCTGTGGTCCTGAGATAAAACATTCAGGAAAATTAGCAGCTTAATGGATGGGGTATAAAGGCGAAGAAAGATAATTAAATCATATTTTTACGCAGAAAATCTGTATTTTCATTACTGACTTCTTGCTTTGCATATATATGACTTTTAGTTGGAGCTGGTATCTAAAATATGAACCTTATTTTCAACCTTTAATTCTTAAGAAATATTTGAATAATGACAGAAAGTGAGGTAAATGTTTACAAAATAAAACCTTTTTTTCTAGGAGAAAATAGAAAGCATAAAAATGCAGTTAAAATTCTAAAGATGAGGCCAGGCACCGTGGCTCGTGCCTGTAATCCCAGCACTTTGGGAGGCAGAGGCGGGTGGATCACCGAGGTCAGAAGTTCAAGACCAGCCAGGTCAACATGGTAAAACCCTGTCTCTACTAAATATACAAAAATTAGCTGGGTGTGGTGGTGGTTGCCTGTAATCCCAGCTACTCTGGAGGCTGAGGCAGGAGAATCTCTTGAACCAGGGAGGCGGCGGTTGCAGTGAGCCGAGATCGTGCTATTGTGCTCCAGCCTGGACAACAAGAGTGAAACTTTGTCTCAAAAAAAAAAAAAAAAATTCTAAAGATAACGTAAACGAGCACACATTTTCCATGCAATTAGCCACTTTTACAGACCAAACTCTTATAGAACTGTATGCAGTAGGTTACCATGTTTCTTATCCATTGACAAGTCTTAGCTTTCAGCAATGTCCTCATTTTATTGACACTAACCAGGAAAGACACACACCATCAGTCTAGTTGTACACTTATCAGTAAATATTTCATAGTTCTGATGCTGATCTTTTTTTTTCTATTTCTGTTTTAGCATTAATTCCTATCTTGCTGCTTTTTGACACAAAAGGCTATCCTGGAATGCAAAGCACACATAGTGAAATTATTGTCATAGCTTATGCGTTAGTTTTCTAAAAAGTAAAAACGAGCTTCTTTTAAAACTCCAAACCTAAAATATTTATATATCTTTTAATTTAGTCAAAAAATTCTAAATATTTCACTATATTTTAACCTCTGTTTGTAGGTGTTGTACACACTGTTACTGGTTATATTGAAGTATCGTTTTGTAATCTCAAAAAGCAACTGGGTTACAAATAGTTACTAATGTAAATTATGAAAATTACAAATCATGAATCACAAGAGATGTGTTTTCTTTGCCTTATGTAGACATTTTAGCTAAGCAAAAATAACCGCTAAATTTTCTAGTTTGTGTCCCTAATTTATTTCACCTTCAGTTTTTTAGTAGTTAAGTTCAAGTTTAATCCAGGGTATCTGATTTTAACTTTATGAAATTTTCTTAACACTAACACATCAAATATCTCTTGGCACTCACTGTTCTCTACTACCAATCTAATTATTCAATACCACTAGCATAATCCCCAACACTACCACCAGCATTATCATCATTGAAGTACAAACCTACATATATACTGCACAACAAAGATACAATATTCCTTATGGGAGGGTTAATCTAAAAGCAATGACATTGATAAGTTATTGGTGAGGATTTACAATCTCAGATTTAAAATTATATTTTCTGATACGTTTTATCTTTGGTAAAGCTAATTATTTGCTTTTTATTTATTTTTCTTCTATTACAATTTGTTTTAAATTCAGATGGAGAAGAAAAAGGTAATTTTATTCAGCCCCTAACATCACAGTATTGTGAAAATAAATGTTTAATTAAATGCCAGATTATTAGTGTATATTCACGTATAATTAGTTATAAATTTAAATAGAAAATTGTATAATTATAACATTGAAACAACTATTCAGTAAATATTTGCCTTAATTTAAATATTACCTTAATTATTCTTAAAATGAATTGAATGACTTAATACAAAAATATTTAATATTAATGTAATATTAATTTAAATAAAATATTTTTCCTAAAACTGATTTTTATTCTAATTTGTGATATACGAACCTCTTATTTATTTTAGCATAAAATTACCTTTAAAGATTTTATAGTTCTATACTATTACACTTGGTGTCATTCTCTGGAAAGTAAGTTCATTTGTTCTTTTTATCAGTAAATTATACTTCTAACTATTAAATATTTTATACTGAAAATCATATGCTATAATGTTTTTTCAATACTTTCATAGCAAAGTTTTGTGACTACATCATAGTTATTAAACAATAAAAGTGAAGAGATTAAAAATATATCTCAATTTATCTTATAATCCAATCTAAGTAAATAAGATTTGCTTGACAGCCGGTGTTGAAAGAGAATTCTTGAGAGAGAAACTGACTTCTTTGCTGTTCTGAACAACTGCACTTGTAAGTGTGGGACATGCCCCTAAACTTTCTGATTTCTTTTACAAACTCCAAAAATTTTATATCTGGCCAAACTTAATCTTGTCCAAGGATCGTAATAGCCAGCAGGGGAGAGGGGGTGGCTCCTACTCCCCATATCTCGGGGGGTGCCTCACCCCCCTGCGATGTGGGTCGTAATAGCCGGGGGAGGCCCCCCCTTGATATGGGGAGTAAGAGCCACCCCCTCTCCCACCCTGCCTATTAGGATCCACATCGCTGTGGGGTGAGACACCAAACTCATTTCAATAGAGTGCCAAACTTTTTTTTCACACAAGTATGATTATGTTAAATTTCAATTACTGTAATATATTTTGTTTTGTATCCAATCCTTTCCTCCAACTTTCTGTGCTTTTCTTATTCTTTTTTTAAGATTTCTGTTCTCAAATAAATGAAAATACTTACTATTTTCAAATTGATAGACATATGGCTGAAGTAGACACATTTAATGCACACATTTTATAATTAGATATAAATTTATTAAAAAATATTTACTTGTATATCAACTTTATTTTATTGGATCTTCTGACAATATTCTAGTAACTATGAAATTTTAAATCATGACTACATTTTAAGTTGTGAAATTTTAAACCATGACTAAATTTTAGCAAGTTATCAAACATATTCCAAATGTGAGATATATTTTTATTAAGTTGAAAATTTGGGAAACTTTTTTACATATTCTATTTTCAAAGCTTCTCTCCAAATACTTTATAATTGGATAACATCTTCAACAGAAATCCCACAGACATACAGTGAAATTACCACTTTAGGATTGAAGCATGAGGGATGAGAAGATTAATCGCTCCAAAAAATAGTAATCATGCTATAATTCAGAATTTGTAAATGTTCACAGTATGTTTTGACAATATTAACTTACACTTAGGAATTCCTAGAAAAAAATACAGTAATCCACCTACAGCAGAATACTAATTGTTTCCTTCTTTCATGTAGTATTGGTCAGGGAAGCATCCTATGTTGTTAAGGATATTTAACATACCTTTGTCCAAGAAAACATGTATGTCTACATGAATTAGGAAGTGCACAGGAAATGGAAATCCAGAAGATAGAAGATAGCAATCAATAGCAAAAAGAAAAAATATTAATCATGGAAATTGGATTGAAATTGGCTGTGAATCAGACATTAAGAATAATATGTGACTAAATGTATGAATGCATGGATTCATAGATACATCAATGGGTACATGAGTGGCTAAATGATTGGAAGGATAGATACATGAATGGATAGATGGATTCATGAATAGATAAAAGCTTTCACTAGTGCTAATCAAACATTTTGTGTGAGCAATAGCGAGTGACAATCCCAGGAAAATAATGTACCTGCAATTTCCTTGGCTTCAGCATTGTCTGTATAAAGCCCCTTTAAGAAGGAATTGAGCTATTCAGAGAGAAAGATTAGCAGTCATGGCATTAAAGACCTTCATACTTAGTAACCTCGCTGGTTTCTCATACTATCTTCCTAGTTTGCTCTGATTAAGACTTGGAAGCCAGAAGATAGAAATCTGGAAAAAAAATTCCAGTGTGAATATTATGGGTAAGATTCAATATTCTAACCAGGCCCTGGCTTTACTACATCTTTCTAGTCTAAACCAGTTTTTAAAATTACTAAGAACTGACTTTATTTTTAGAATGTTCTGTTAAATTCAAAGAGGTGTGTGTGGTAGAGAGAGAGATTCTAGGATTTTAGTCTTAAGAGCTTAGTCAGGTCTTTTCAAATTTCAAGTGTGTGAAAATTTTGGGGGTGCTTACTAAAATCAATATATTTCAAATTTATCCCTGAAAATACTGATTGACTCAATACTTCAGAGGATAATCCTAAAAATATTTATCGATCTATAACCTTCATTGCTGTGGCATATGTTATATATTTGGCTTTAAAAATCTAAAGCTGGAAGTAAATTAAAACAGATATGTCACCTTTTATGTTATATAGATATCATAATATTACAACACATATATGTTAATATTTAATTTATATATATACATATAATTTAAAGGGTTATCTTAGGGGTAAGACAGCTTCCTGTTGTGGATAGAATAGAGAGGGAAGGCCTCTCTCCTAAAGCATAGTTTGGAGAAATCTGAAGTAAGCAAGACAGAAAATTATGTTAATAACGGAAGGAAAAGTTTTTAAGATGGAAGAAAGTCTTTGACAAAGGAGAGGGTTTTTAGAATTTCTAAGAAGACTCTAAGTCAGCAGACAGGCAAACCAGAGTCTGCACCAGTCTCTAGAATTTTTAAGCATTGACTTTATTTTTAGTATATTCTATTAAAGTCAAACAAGTGGGGGAGTGTGTGTGTGTAAACATATGTATACATACACACATATACATACATGTACACACACAATGTATGTGCATTTGATATTACATATCTTCAGAGGAGAAGATAGTACCTCACACAGATCGAATTCAATAAGTAGGTATGAGAGGGAAGTGGATGAATGCATGAATAAATGAATTTAATGTTAAACATAATTTTTTCCAAGTAATCTTATCAGAACTAAGTACAAGCAGAAATTTCTTATTGATAGGAAATGGTATTATCTATTAATATAAGATGAGTGACAGTTTATTTAGACATATACCACACTGTTAGATCATAGTAAAAGTGTGCTTAAATAAGGCATTCTGATATTAGTTTCACAAAATTGTTTTTCCCATCTATGTACACTTTTCAGATGAATAAATTTAGTTTTAAAAACAAAGCAGCTATTTTTGACTTGTAAAAAACTATTATTTTTTTCATTTTCTACTTTAAATTTAAATCTCATTGAAATGACTTTACTAATTCATCCTGACTCTTTAGTAGTTTTTCCTGCATGTTTCATGGTGATTCTCAATTTAATGTTTCAGAATTTTTCAGAGTCATAAAGATAGTATGCGGTATATTTATATTTCATCCTTCCAATAGTTAGTTAACATAATTAATTCAATTATAAGGAGCCTATGCAGGCTAAGTAAAATCTTGAGGATTTTTACTTTAGGTTACAATTTTATAAAGTCAGTGAATTTAGATCGCTTAAATTAAAGAAAGCTCTCCTTGAACATGACAATTATTTGTAATTTATACAATTAAGAAAATATTAACTGATGTGGATTCTCATAAATAAGAAATGTTTTATTTATTACACATGATAGAAATTAATACAATGCATCTTTAAATAAATAACATTTTCAAATCTGAAACCATTTCAACTAATATTAGTCAATGTCTTGGAGAATGGCTCCACAATCCACTCAGAATACATATAAGTCTATGCAATAATTCAGCAAAACTTTCAGGGTTGCCTCAAAATACATGCGGAATCCAAGCATTTATTACCACCTCCATAGCTAAGTCCTAGTGCACGGCACATCAGATGAAAGAAAAGTGTACGTAAATGGTGTATTTGCCTCCTTTCTCAGCTTACTACAGTCTATTCTCAATTCAGCATCAGAATACTTTTTTGAAAACAAAGAAAGTCATATTTTGATCTTCTCTGCTGAAATATGCCTTTGAATTTCCAACTTACTTAAAATAATATCCATATTCCGTAGCATGGTCTTTAAAGTCTGATATGATCTTACATCCCACTACCTTTTTTACCTTAATCTCAAATCATGTCACATCTAGTTTGCTTAACTACTAACTTAGTCTCCTGGAGGTTTGAGAAGCCCTTTCCTGCCTCAGAAACTTTGCAGTTGATATCCTCTCTGTCTTAAAAATGTGTTCGGTTATGAACATAATTTTCTCACTTACTTTCTTTAGGTTTCTCCCAAAATATGCATTAGGAGTAAGCCCTTCCCTCTCTGCCTAACCACAAGAGGAAGCTCCTTTATCCCAAGACACCGTAACTCACTTCCTCTACATTTTCTTCATAGCATTTATCACCATCTTACATAGTATGTGTTAGCTTATTCTTTATTTTTGTTTTCTTCCATAGTGAGAAAATATGTTTCTTGAGAGAAAGGGCTTTGTCTTATTCACTGCTTTTTCTCCAGGACACAGAACAGAACATGACATACAGAATAAATGATTTAGTAAAAATAAATAAATAAATAAAATCACTGATTTAATGCATAATGCATAATTTTTTACCACTGTTAATTTATTAAACATTGACACCATCTTTTCTCTTAACTTCCATGATGGTACATCTTTTGATTTTTTTTTAATAACGTCTTTGTCAGCTCAAATTCTTTTTTCAAAACCTGTATCGATTGTTTTACCATGTTATATGCTGTGTTTCTATCTTATCTGTAAGAAAGCTGTTTTATACAATGACCTTTAATTTTCTTATAAACCAATAACTGAAATCTATATCACAAATTAGACTTCTTTTATGAGGTTCAGAAACATATTTTTATCTGTTCATTTATCACCTCTACTTGCAAGTTTATGAAGATATATCAAAATTAACAAGAAAACAAATATATAATTGTATACTTTTCAAACTTGTTACAGCAAAACTTCTCAGAAAACCATTTCCTAACTACCTAGTCTGCATCAGGGTTTTTTTTCTGTAATATACTCTCATGAAAACATGTTTATGTCATTTTGTGAACTAATATAATTTACACTAATAAGTATAATACAATGATATACTACATAATATATATTACTATATCACAGCATTACAGATATGTACACATCTATATGGCATAGTTTTCTATGGAGGAATAGTTTGAGTATACATAGGAGGAAAATCACGACGATATTGGCAATAATTTCTTCTGTGATATAATATTTTACAAAGGCAAATCTTGAAAATAAGCTCATTGTTGGTTAGTTCATATATCATTAAAGATTCAAAAGTCTTTCATTTATCACAATGTTCAGACTTAATGAACACAGAACTTAATTTTCTAAAATTTATAACCTAGTACCAAATAAATTGCACACATGCTCTGTAAAGGATACATCAAATTTGAATACACTAATGACGAAGCAAGAACTGCTGGAATGATGTCACATATTAAAAAGTAATCAAGCACATAAGTGTAAGAAGCTGCATAATTTGAAGTGATTTATTTCTAATTACTATATTTCTCGGTACTTAACTGCAGTAAATATAATTTTCATTATAATATGAATTTTATTCCACAGTATGTACCATTAAATTGCTAATGCATTTGCAAAATCTCAAGATATGTTAAAGAACAGTGATATTTGAATTCCAAAAATAATCTCTTCTAATAAACAATTTTTAAAAACAGTATTAACCTTGCCCATGATTGCTGGAATTCTCTAAAAAATTATTTTCCCAACATAAGTATCATTGGTACATTTAAAAAAATACTAATTCCTTTTAATGTAACAATTTGATATGTAAAGTTAGATAATATTTAGTTAATAAAATACTGTTTAGTTTCTGATTTAGGACTATTTTAACTCTTTATTTTCATTACTGGTGTCTAACATTTAGAAAAATTATATGAAACATATAAATCAGAAACAACATTTCTTGAGATTTAATCAGTGACCTCAGTTCCTTACTTAATATTATACATTGAAAATGTGTTATTTTTATAGAAACATTGGTAGTATTTTATGTTTATGATCGCAGCTAAATATATTTTAAAATATATATCACTATGATAAGTGACATCGCATATGCCTTTTTTGGCACTCTGTGACTTTCCTCAAACAAAAATAACCTATTCATTTGACAAAAAGCACATTGTATCATGGACCGCACAAGGTCCCCTGTATTTTACTTTGTCAATTAATCCTACAATTAGTAAACACTACATATATATATATATGTATATGCATTTTCCAAAGGAAATGATATCACTATCTCACAGAAGCAGCAGCTCTCCAATATTCATAGCATTATTCACAATAGCCAATATTTAGAAAAAACCTGAGTCCATCAAATGATTCATGAATAAAGAAAATAGGATTATATGTACAGGCATATCTCATTTTATTGTGTTTCACAGTTTTTGTGATTTTTCAAATTGAAAGTTTGTGGCAAACCTGTGTCAAGCAAGTCCAGTGGTAACATTTTTCCAACAGCACATGCTCACATCACGTTTTTGTCACTTACTAGTAATTGGCACAAAATTTTATTTTTTCAGTATTATTTTCTGTTATGATTCTATTAGCCAGGGTTCTCTAGAAGGACAGGACTAAAAGGATAGATGTGTATATGAAAAGGTGTTTATTAAAGACTATTGACTCACATGATCTCAAGGTAAATCCCACAATAGGTTATCTGCAAGCTGAGGAGCAAGGCAGACAGTCCGAGTCCCAAAATCTCCAAAGTAGGGAAGCCGACAGTGCAGCCTTCAGTCTGTGGCTGAAGGTCCTAGAGTCCCTGGCAAACCACTGGTGTAGGTCTACGAGTCCAAAAGCTGAAGAATTTGGAGTCTGATGTTCAAGGGCAGGAAGCATCCAGCATGGCAGAAAGACGAAGGCCGAAGATTCAGCCAGTCCCGTCCTCCCACGTTCTTCTGCCTCCTTTTATCCTAGCCACCTTGGCAGCTGATTAGAGGGTGCCCACGCAGATTGAGGGTGGGTCTGCCTCTCTCATCCCACTGACTCACATGTTAATCTCCTTTTCAACACCCTCACAGACACACCCAGGAACAATACTCTGCATCCTTCAATCCAATCAATTTGACATTCAATATTAAGCATCACAATGGTCATATGTAATCAGTGATCTTTGATGTTCCTAATAAAATTGTTTTGGGATGCCATGACCCACATCCATATAAAAGAGTGAACTGAATTGATGATGTGTATCTTTTGACTGCTCCACTGACCACTATACCCTTATATCTCTCTTCGTTCTCTGGACCCCCTATTTGCTGAAAGAAACCAATATTATAATATATTAAATTAGGTCATTTAGAAACCCTACAATGGTCTCTAAGTTTTTAAGTGAAAGGATTAGTTATACATCTCTCACTTCAAATAAAAAACTAAAAATGATTAAGTTCAGTGATGAAGCATGCTGAGAGCCAAGGCAGGCTAGGTCTTTTGTGTCAAATAAGTAGCCAAGTTCCAACTGCAAAAGAAAAATTCTTGGAGGAAATAAGAATGCTATTTTAATGAACACACAGATGTTAAGAAAGCAAAACAGCCTTATTGCTGATAGGGAGAATGTTTTAATAGTCTGGATAGAAGATGAAACCAGCCGCAACCCTCCCTTAAGCTGAAACCTTAATCTAGAGCAAGGATTTAACTCTCTTTAATTCTATGAAGGGTAAAAAAGGTAAAGAAGCTGCAGAAGAAAAATTTAAAGCTAGCAAAGATTGGTTCATGAGGTTTAATGAAAGAAACCATGTGCATAACACAAAAGTGCAAGATAAACCTTGAAGTGCTGATGTAGGTAACAGCATGTTATCCAGAAGGAGTAGCAAAGACAATCGATCGATAAAAGTGATTACACTAAACGGCAGATTTTTCATTGTTGATAAAACAGCTTTATATTGTCGGAAGATGCAATCTGGGGCATTCAGAGCTAAACAGGAGAAGTCAATGCCTGGTTTCAAAGCTTCAAAGACAGGCTGACTCCCCTGTAAGGGAGGAATGCAGTGGTGACTTTAAGTTGAAGCCAATGCTCACTACCATTCTGAAAACCCTAGAGACCTTAGAATTATGTTAAATCCGCTCTGCTTATGCTTTCTTTCTTTCTTTTTTCTTTTTTTTTTTTTTTTGAGACGGAGTCTCGCTCTCTCGCCCAGGCTGGAGTGCAGTTACGTGATCTCGGCTCACTGCAACCTCCGCCTCCCAGGTTCACGCCATTCTCCTGCCTCAGCCTCCCGAGTAGCTGGGACTACAGGCGCCCACCACCACGCCTGGCTAAATTTTTGTATTTTTAGTAGAGATGGGGTTTCACCGTGTTAGCCAGGATGGTCTCGATCTGACCTCGTGATCCGCCCGCCTCCACCTCCCAAAGTGCTGGGATTACAGGCGTTAAGCCACGGTGCCCTGCCTCTGCCTATGCTTTCTAAACAGAGCAATAAAACATGGATGACAGTACATCTATCTACAGCTTGGCTTACTAAATATTTCAAGCCCACTGTTGAGATCTACTCCTAAGAAGTAAATATTTATTTCACAATAATACAGCTCATTAACAATGCTTCTAGTCATCCAAGAGCTTTGTTGAAGATGGAACAAGGAAATTAATGTTGTTTTCGTGCCTTTTAACCAATATCTATTTGCTGCCATGGATCAAGAATTTTAGCTTTCAAGACTTATCATTTAATAAATAACTTTTAATACTAGGGATTTCATATATAGTAATTCCTCTGGGAAAAGAAAATTGAAATCTTCTGGAAAGGTTTATAGATGCCATTAAGAAGTTTTGTGATTCTCAGGAGTTGTTCAAAATATCAACGTTAACAGGAGTTTAGAAAAAGTAGATTCCAAGACTCATGGACGACTTTAAAGAGTTCAGTAAGATCTATTATTTGATAGAACAGGGTGACCACAATCAACAATAATTTATTGTACTTTTTATAACAAATAAGAGTATAATTGGATTATTTGTAACACAAAGAAAAGATTAACGCTTGAAGTGATGGATACCTACCCTGAATGTGATTATTACAAATTGTATGCCTGTATCAAAATATCTATGTACCCTATACATTCTTACATCTACTATGTATTCACAATAAATAAACAGTTTTAAAATTAAGAAAAAAACAATTTAGTGGGAGAAGTAAATGAAGATGTGGAAGTAGGAGGAGAAATAGAATTAGAAGTAGAGCCAGAAGCTATGAATGAATTGCTACAATTGCATGATAAAACTTCAATGGATGAAAAGTTGCTTCTTATGAATGAGAAAAGAAAGTTTTCTGAGATGGAATCTACCCTGGCAAAGATGCTTTGAAAGTCATTAAAAAAGATAAAAGTTATTTTAGTGTCTTATATAAACTTAGTAGATAAAACAACAACAGGATTTGGGAGGACTAACTCAAATTTTGAAAGAAGTTATACTGTGGGTAAAATGCTTTCAAATTGCATCGCATGCTCCAGAGACATCTTTCACGAAAGAAAGAGTCAATCAATATGGTAAACTTCATTGTTGTTTTATTTTAAAAGATATCAGTCTCCACCACCCGCCAAAAAACTACAATATATTTTTTTTCTCATCACAACATGGCACTTACTCTAAAATTGATCACATAATTGGAAGTAAAACACTCCTCAGGAAATGCAGAAGAACTGAAATCATAACAGTCTCTCAGACCACAGCACAATCAAATTAGAACTCAAGATTAAGAAACTCACTCAAAACCATACAACTACATTGAAATTGAACAACCTGCCGCTGAAAGGCTTCTGAATAAATAACGAGATTAAGGCAGAAATCAAGAAGTTACTTGAAACTAATGAGAACAAAGAGACATTATACCAGAATCTATGGAACTTAGCTAATGCAGTGTTAACAGGGAAATTTATAGCACTAAATGCCCACATCAAAAAGCTAAAAAGATCTATAGACAACAACTTAACATCTCAATTAAAAGAACTAGAGAACAAAGAGTAAACCCCAAAGCTAGCAGAAGACAAGAAATAACCAAGATCAGAGCAGAAATGAAAGAGACATGAAAAACCCTTCAAAAATCAATGAATCCAGAATCTGTTCTTTTTTTTGAAAAAATCATTTGAATAGATAGACCACTATCTAGACTAATAAAGAAGAAAAGAGAGAAGAAGCAAATAGACATAATCAGAAATGATAAGGAGGATATTACCACTGACCCTACAGAAATACAAACAACCATCAGAAAATACTATAAACACCTCTATGCACATAAACTAGAAAATCTAGAAGAAATATATAAATTCCTGGATTCATACATTCTCTCAAGACTGAACAGGAAGAAATTGAATTGCTGAATAGACCAATAACGAGTTTTGTAATAGAGGCAGTAATAAATAGCTTACTAACAAAAGAAAGGCCAGGACCAGATGGATTTAAAGCTGATTTCTACCAGAGGTGCAAAGAGGAGTTGCTACATTTCTTTTGAACCTATTCCAAACCATTGAAAAGGAGGGACACCTCTCTAACTCATTTTATGAGGCCAGCATTATCCTGATACAGAAACTTGGCATAGATACAACAAAAAAGGAAAACTTCAGGCCAATATCTCTGAAGAACATCAATGCAAAAATCCTCAATAAAATACTGGCAAACTGAGTCCAGCAGCACATCAAAAAGCTTACGCACCACAATCAAATTGGCTTCATCCACAGGATGTAAGGTTGGTTCAGCATATGCAAATCAATAAAAGGCATTCATAAAATAAACAGAACTAAAGACACAAACCACATGTTTATCTAAAATGGACACAGAAAAGGCCTTCAATAAAATTCAACATCCCTTCATGTAAAAAATCTCAGTAAACTAGGTGTTGAAGGAACATACCTCAATATAATATATATAACAAATGTACAGCCAGTATCATCCTGAATGGGCAAAAGATGGAAGCATTCCCCTTGAAAACCAGCACAAGACAAGGATGGCTTCTCTCACCACTCGTATTCAACATAGTACTGGAAGTTCTGGCCAGCACAACCAGGCAACAGAAAGAAATGTATTCAAATAGGAAAAGAAGACGTCAAATTGTCTTTGTTTGCAGATAACATGATCCTATATCTAGAAAACCCTGTCATCTCAGCCCGAAAACTTCTTAAGCTAAAAAGAACTTCCACAAATCTCAGAATACAAAAATCAATGTGCAAAAATCACTAGCATTCCTATACACCAATAAACAGGCAAGCAGAGAACCAAATCTTGAATGAACTCTCATTCACACTTGCTACAAAAAGAATAAAATACCTAGGAATACAGATAACAAGGGAAGTGAAGACCCTCTTCAAGGAGAACTACAACCCACTGCTCAAGGAAATTAGAGAGGACACAAACAAATGGAAAAACATTCCATGCTCATGGATAGAAAGTATCAATATTGTGAAAATGGCCATACTGACCAAAGTAATTCATAGATTCAATGCTATTCCTTCAGCAACTGTCACCATGATCAGTTAGCTGCCTTCAACATTAAGGCAAGGCCCTCTATCAGCAAAAAAGATTCTGACTTGCTGAAGTCTCTCTGATGATCATTAGCATTTTTTAAAAATAAAGTGTTTTTTCAAGTAATCTTTAACATTTTACTGCAATTTTAACTGAAAAATAACTATATATTATGTATTTATTTGATACAGTGTGATCTTAAAATATTTTTTGTGGGTACATATTATTAGGTGTATATATTTATGGGGTATATGAGATATTTTGCTACAGGCATGCAATGCATAATAACCACATTATTTAAAATGGGGTATTCATTTACTAAAGCATTTATCTTTTGTGTTACAAATAATCCAATAATACTGTTTTAGTTATTTTAAAATTTACAGTTAAATTATTATTGTCTTTAGTCACTCTATTGTGCTGTCAAATACTAGGTCTTATTCATTCTAACTAATTTTTTGTTTTGTATTTATTAACCATCCCACCTCTTACCCACCCACCCACTTCCGTTTCAAGCCTCTGGTAACCATTCTTCTACCCTCTATATCCACGTGTTCTATTGTTTTGATTTTTAGATCCCACAAGTAAGTGAGAACATGGGATGTTTGTCATTCTGTGCCTGGCATATTTCACTTAGTATAATGACATCCAGTCTCATCCATGTCATTGCAAATGACAGGATCTCATTCTTTTTTATGGCTGAATAGTATTCCATTATGTATATGTACCACATTTTCTTTATTCATTCATCCGTTGATGGACACTTAGGTTACTTCCAAATTTGTGTTATTGTGAATGGTGCTACAACAAACATGGGAGTGCAGATATCTCTTTTATATACTGATTTCCTTTCTTTTGGATATATACCAGCAGTGAGATTAGCAATAAAGTATTTTTAATTAAGATATGTACATTGGCATATATATATAAATATAAAGTATATATACACACACACAAATATATATACTTTGTTTAAGAATAATAGTACACTTAATAGACTACGGTATAATATAAACATAAGTTTTATATGTCCTAGAACACCAAAATATTTGCATGACTCATTTTTTGATAACAGTTGCTCATTGCAGTGGTCTGAACCAAACTTAAAATATTTCTGAGTTATGTCTGTATGCAGGTTGCGTAGTCCTTATCCAAAATACTTGGTACAAGAGTGTTTTGGATTTCTGATTTTTAAAAATATTTTGAAATGTTTACATATATATTAGGAAATATTTTATGGATGGCTCCTCAGTGTAAACATAAAATTCATTTATGTTTAATGTATTAATTATACCCATAGCCTGAAGGTAATTTTACATAATATTTTTAAGAATTTTATGCATAAAACAAAGTTTGTTAAGTAGTTTTTGTGTCTGTGTGAGACTTTCCAGTCCTGGTTTCATGTCAGTGTGCAAATATTTCAGATTTTGAAAGTTTGAAACTTAACTGTAATACTTACTGTAGTACTGTAATAATTTTTAGACATTTCCTTTTGCTATTAGGATGACCTGAAGTGTTGTATCATTTAAAACACTATTTAAGCCTCATGATCTCTGCATGAGCAATTTATATCTGAAGTAAATTATTTGTCATGGCAAAAAGTGATATCTCCCTCCATTTTGTGTATTTTTCAGCATGCTTAGTTCAATACTGTAAACCTTGAATAACATCTTGAGATCCTTATGAAGTGCCACTAGTGATGCTTGCAGAGAAAAGTCATGACATTATAAGTAAAAGTTGAGTTACTTGATATGTACTGCAGAGACTGAGGTCTGCAACTGTGGTTGTGCACAGTTTCAGACAGACAATTCATCTTGTAAACAGACATGGTAAACTTACGGTATCAATAAATACAGTACAGTGCTCTAAATGTATTTTCTCTCCCTTGTGATTTTGTTAATGTCTTTTGTCTACACTTAATTTATTGTAAGAATACTATATATAATACAGATAACATACAAAAATACATGTTAATCTATTGTTTATGTTGTTTATAAGGCTTCTACTCAACAATAAGCTATTAGTAGTTAAATTTTCAAAGAGCCAAAAGTTATATGTGGATTTTTTTTTTAATTGTGCAGGGCATCAACATTGTTTACCCTTGCATTGTTCAAAGGTCAACCACACACACACACACACACACACACACACACAATTTAAAGTGGAATATTATTCCACTTCAAAAGGGAAGAAAATTATGTCATCTATGACAACATGTATACACCTGAAAAATTATGCTAAGTGACTAGGAATAGAAAGAAAAACTGCATGATCTCACTTACATATGGATTCTAAAATAGCCAAATTCTTGGAAGCAGAGAGTAGAATAGTGGTTGAATGAAGCTTGGAAGTGAGGGATATGAGGAGACAGTCAAAATTAAAATTGTAGGATAAATAAGTTGTAAATATTTAATGTACAGCATGAAGACTATAGTTAATAATACTGTATTATACACTTAAAATTTAATAATATAGTAGATCATAACTATTCATATGACACACATAGACACAAAACACACACACAAAACGGTAAGTATGTAAATAAATGGATATGTTAACAAACTTGACTGTAGTAACCAGTTCACTATGTGTATGTATATCAAAACAATATGCTGTATACCAAATATATATATATTCTATTAAAAATTTAACATATGAACATATTTTCTATGTTTGTAAGGTTTAATGAATTTCTTAGGAGTGTTATCTATAGTGCTTCTTAGTGATTAAGGGATAGATTTTAAGGCTAGTACAAAAATCAAAACAAGAACTAAACACAAACAGGCACACACAAACTATATATGATTTGGAAAAAGTAGGTTCACAGTAATATTGTGTTACATAATGAATAAATCAACTTATGTCAACCTCAAAAACTTAATATTAAATATTTGCCAGGGTACAAAATGAAATTGAATTTATAATTCATAAATTATCATTATAATTATAAATGTGTCACTTATAAGCCAAAAAATAAAAGAAAAACTTAGCAACAGTTTTGTTTTTGTCTCCCCCTATACATAGATGTCAGTGACCATTCTGAATAGTATATAATATTAAGTTTGTTTGGTGATGAAGTAATACATTTCATAAAAATTTTTAGAAGCAAATAACCTGGGAAATTGTATCTCCTGTACACTATGTGTGTGGTATTGTAACAGTGGC